>NC_000013.11:81159237-81312078 GCF_000001405.40 Homo sapiens | reverse complement strand
ACAATAAAATGTTCAGTGGTGGCCAGGAGCTAGGAGTGAGGAAGGGATGAATAGGATAGAGGATTTTTAGGACAATGGAAATCCTCTGTGTGTTGCTATAATGGTAAGTACATGTCATTATACGTTTATCCAAACCCATATAATGCACCTAATGTAAAGTGTGGACTTGGGGTGATGATGATGTGTCAAGGTAGGTTCATCCATGTGATAAATGTACAACTCTGGTAGTGGGTACTGAAAATGGAAAGGCTATGCATGTCGGGGGAAGGTAGGGGGCTTAGAAGAACTCTGTACCTTCTGCTCAATTTTGTCATAAACCTAAAACTAGTTTTAAAAAATAAAGTCTAGGGCTGGGCACATTGGCTCACGCCTGTATTTCTAGCACTTTGGGATGCCGAGGCGGGTGGATCACCTGAGGTCAGGAGTTCGAGACCAGCCTGGCCAACACGGTGAAAGCCCCTCTCTACTAGAAATACAAAAAATTAGCCGGGTGTGGTGGCAGGCACCTGTAATCCCAGCTACTCAGGAGGCTGAGGCAGGAGAATTGCTTGAACCCAGATGGCGGAGGTTGCAGTGAGCGGAAATCGCGCCATTGCACTCCAGCCTGGGCAGCAAGAGTGAAACTCTGTCTCAAAACAACAACAACAAAAAAGTAAGGTCTAGGGTTTCATTTAAAGTTAGTTATCTACTACATCTACTAAAGTACAACATTTTATGATCATTTTCCTGGCTATTTGTTATTGAGTGAAAACAATATTGTGAAAAAAGTACATTCCATAGTTAGCGATACACTTTTATTAAGATTATCCTCATGCTTAATTAAGTAATCTGGAACTGGTAGAAGAAAATTATAATCTATGATGCCATGGAAGTAAATTTAGGTTGGAAAGACATATATCTGGTGATACTTGTGTGTGGCTGACTCTGAGGTTCCATTTGAATTCTTCATTATCTATCACCCAGAAGAGACAATCTTTCTTTAAAACAATAGGTATATCAGTTTGGTTTGTTAAATTTGTACTGTAGTGTATCAAATTTTCCTTCCTTGATCAATCAAAATGTTTAAACTTCCACTAAAACTATTAAAAATTTGCCAAAAAATAATTTCTGCACTAGATAATATTTTAATATGTGTTTCCTTAAGAAAGAATGACCTAGATAAAAATAAATATTTGAATGAATGAGTAAATAGCACCGTGCAATAGTGAAAGAACATATTAGCCATATCTCATTTTAGAAGTAGTTTTTCTTACCATATACTATCAATAGAACTGAACTAATCCCTGACATAATTTCCCTGACTGTATTTCAATATTTTGAATTTATATTATTATTAATAACAACAATAAAATGTGCATAGTGACATTTCCTGCTTTGAGATTTAAATTATTTTGCATACAGTTTCATCATCTCAAATACTTTTCTCAATCTATTATAAATGAAGTAAGAAAAGATTGAGCTAGTTCATCGTTAATAAAACTTTTAAGTGACCTCAGCATTTATCCTTGCTATAATTTCTATTGTATATATATTCAGGTTTATTCACTTTTATGTCTAAAATCAAATGTCCTCTCATTTGCAATTTGGCTTTGGACACCAGTTTATATATTCTTAAAGATTTCTGCTCTTTTTTTCTACCATTTTACAATATCCTAAATCATGCAAACATATGCCTTAAATTTAAAAGCAGATAAATTTTGGTACATTTAATCTAATTTCTTGACTCGGTCAAGTTACTTTTGCTTACAAGTAAATTTATATTATTGTTATAATTCTAGTTTGAAATTAATTTTAGTAAGTTTATCATGATGGATAATTATTTTAAAATGTATTTCATTGATGTCTTCATTCAGTTATGGCATATTATTAAGAATCTACTTGATAGCAGGGTTATTCCATTTCACCTTGCAATTCGATAATTGCTTAAGTGGCCGCTTGTCAGCATAGCTCCACATTACTACTGGACAGAGTTTAATATCTAACTAGGAAAAAAAACATAGGTATCTAAAAAATAAGAATATTTTGGCAATATAGGAATTCTTTATGATAGAAAAAAAAACAATGACCGAGGTTTTATTAAATTGCAAACTTTTTCAATTACCAAGCTACTTTAGAGCCCTTGTGTATTAGATGGAGGATTCTTTGGTATAACTTGTATTTGAAGTGGGTTAAGTGCTGAGACAGAATTTTTGTTGATAAAATTCTTATCATATGCAAACTCTAAAGTAAAATAAATCCTTGGTTTTCAAACAATTTTTACCCTTAAATGTTAGTAATCAAAGAGGAAAAAAGAGGCTTTTATGAAATAATGTTTAAACCTTCAATTCCTATGTCATTTAAAAATTCTATAGGAATTTCCATTACAAACACACTTTGAAGGCTTTAGATCTTTGTAGCTGAAATTTGCAACAGATATCCTCAGTCTCCAACAGTTGTTATTTCCTTAAACAAGAAAGCAAGAAGTCTGTATCATTTTTCAGTGGCAACAACAACAGAAAATGTAAAGAAATGAGATTCCAAATAGAAGTAGAAAAGTCTAAAAAACATTATTCAGTTTGAATGCTGGAAACATGAAATGACATGAATTTCAGTTTCTTATGACATTCAAGTATAATATAGAATTCTCACTATCATTGTTTATCTCCCACTTTTGTTCATGTCTTACTTTATCTTTGAAGATTTGCCTATTTATTAAAATCCTGAAATGCACTGTAGATGCCAGAATATGCCACAGGTATATTTGTAATGATATATTTAAGTTACATTAAAATCTGAGAATATTATCTGAAATTTGAAATCTTACAGGGCCTGAATATTTTATTACAAAACCTATTTCTATATCCATTTCTGTAGTTTCATGATTTGGAGTGAATAGATGAATAGCGATGGCTGAATAGTATTTATGAGTTTGTTGAAATTAGATGACAATCTGTAAGGCTCTAGGAAATAAACAATTAAACTGAAAATATTTGTTCCTTAACTCCTCTTTGGAAACTAATTTCCTATGCATAAGGACCTTCCAATCTTCCCCAGGTACCCTAAACTCAGACAAACTCCAGCTTTGCCTGTGGCTTTTAATAATGTAAAATGAACTATTTTTTTAAGAAGACAAAAATTGAGCTATTTATGAAAGACTAATCACCTTGGTTGGAGTGCTTGACAGCAGATCAATTGTTCAGGTCATTCTCATATAAGGATTTTACTTTTTAAGGCTAGTGTTAGTGAATCTACTTTTTTTTTCCAATAAAAATAATTTGGCCAATTTGGCCTAAGATTTCTCTCCACTATATATTTGTTACAATTAAACTTGTATTTTTGTGCTCATTTAAAAATAATGTAACTAAGAAAGAAATTTAATGTTAGTCCAGAAATAGTATTTATTCATTAACTCATTTGAAAACAATTTTTGAGAATCTATTTCTAAATCCTATTTCAGATCCTGAGCATAAAAAGAGATGTAAAGTGTAGGGTTTTGCTTTAGTTGCCTTATAAAGAACGAAGCAGTACAAAATAATTTGTGTTATATTAGTTCACTTAATATAAAATATAACACAAAACAATTTGTGCTATATTAGTTCATTTAATCATTTTATTAATGCACTAGGCATCTATGGAATGATTTCTATGTCAGGTACTGGGCCTAGTGTAAGGCAAACAAATGCATAAATCACGTATAGCTTACAGTCTAGTAACAAAGACATCTTTGTAGACAAATAATAATTACAACACAAAGTATTCAATGCCTTCATGGAGCTATCAAGTCTGCAGCATGTTGCAGACTCAAGAATGTGCAAAATGCCTCAAGTGAAGTACATTGACGACTACCTTGGTTCTTACTGAATAAATACAACATTGAGAAACAGATGACAAGGGGAAAGGAGGAATTCTAGCTGGGAAATATATATGAAATTATACTGAGCATTACAAGGATTTTGATTAATCTGGTACAGTTGTACCATAGAGTGTTATGAGCTGACCAGATGTGAGACAGGAGATGTAGGTCCACTTTATGAAAGACCTTGATGGGATTCAGGACATGTTATCCCAAAATATGGCATCTTGTTATATGGAGTATTTTAAGCTAAAAGAAATTGAGAAAACTACATAAGCAAAGGATAACTCAAGTTTCCCCATACCTTTCTTCCCTGAAGCAGGCTATGAAAAATTCTCTGACCTGATCTTCCTCTAAAGAAAATCATAAGACCCTCATTCGTGAGGATCCTTCTCTATACCCAGAGGGCATCAATGAAGACACAGAGATGCCAAGAAGAAACTGAAGAAACAGGCTATGCTAAGTCTCTCCCCCTGGAGTTTATTCCCATCAGATAGTTAGTGGTGGCAAATAACCGAGTTACGGTGGTGAATCCCTATGGGTCTGCAACAACCGTAATTCTTGTCTCCTCAGAAGAAAGAATTTGACTGAGGGGCATGAGGCAGAAAAAGACACTGACACCGAGGCAAGTGTCAGAGCAGGAGTGGAAGTTTATTAAAAAGCTCTGTCGCAGGAAACAACGGAAAGTGCACTTGAAAGAGATCCAAGCAGGCACTTTGGAGGTCAAGTGAGGCATTTGACTTGGGGTTTTATATGTTGGCATACTTGCAGGGCCTTGCGTCCCTTTCCCTGTGATTCTTCCCTTAGGGTGGGCTGCCCACATGCAAGGTGGCCTGCTAACACTTGAGAGGTGAACATGCACAGTGTTTGCTGGAGTTGTATGCATGATCGCCTGAGGCATTTTTACCTTTTCTGGTGGAATGCTTCTGGAAGGTTATACCCTGCCATTTTGTCTCCTAATGCACATGCTGGAGTTTACTCACCCAATTCCTGAGATTTTATTGGAAGCTGCTGATTACCAATTTCAAATGTTTTTATCCCTTGGGAAATTGCCTCTCCCTGGTGCCTGAGACCAATTATCATTTTAGTGTGACAACTGCTGGACCATCAGGAAATTGCCTCTCCCGGGCACCAGCCCAACCAATTATCGCTTTTAGACAGGCAGTGTGATAACTGCTAGACCATCACCTGATTGTCGCCTGACATTCCTCGTGGGTGGGGGATCCCTCTCCTGCCCTGTGCATCCCTAACTAACTACTGTAACAAGATCATACCCTTTTTGTCCAATTACACTTACACACAGCTGTCTGCTCTCCATCAAATTTACACTTGAAAATACACAGTTTATCTTGTTTCTTTTAGGTCTTTGTTTCTGAAGGCTACCATGTCACATAAAACTCGTAAGAAATAGATGTATGTGTTTTTTCTTTGTTAATCTGTCTTTTGTTGTAGGGTCTCAGTCATAAACTTTTTAGTTGGTAAGAAAAAGATCTAATTTTTTCCCCTGCAGCCTTGTAATTCCATATTTTATCTCACAGGTGGTAAAAAATTATTTTAAGAAAGTCATGAGGAATACATATATATACATATACATACATACACACACACACACGTGTGTGTGTATGTGTAGAGAGAATAAAATTGCTTAGAAGAATAACTAGAACAAGCATAGGTAGAAGGCAGAAAATATCTCAAAGTCATTGACATTATTTGATCAAATTCCAATTATTCTTTCTTCTAAACACATAGTAACATTCTACTTTTTGATTCTTTGTGATTTATTGGAGCTTTAAACTAACTCTTACCAGTCAGCCATAAGTGAAAGTCACATGTCATTTTTAGCTTATTGCATCTAATTCCTGATGAGAAACTATTCGTATTATCTTTTCTCTTTCCCACAATAGTACTCTTTCCTTCTTTCCAGGTCTCAGAGAGAGGAGAACAAGATTAAACCAAGTGGCCAAGCTGCCCATGTGGATAGGTACAATGAGCAAGAAATAAACCTTTGTTGTTTGATGTCAGTGAGATTTTTTTTCTTGTGTTTGTGGTGATTAGTGTTGTTACTGCAGTACAACCTATGCTATCCCAGTTCACACAGTTATCACTATGTCCACAAACTGCAGCAAATGTGTCCCATAACTAAAGCAAAACAAACTTCTAGGTGTCAGTAGATTTTATCAAATAACTCTTAAATATTTGCTAACTATGAAACACCATCTGGAGTTAGAGACCAATTTTCCCCATCTCTTGGACTTTGCTTGTTAGAGGTACTTTTGGGAGGTTAGGACATAGCCACCTCATTTCTGGTTCTTCACTCTTCTGATAACACGACATTTCTTTGCCTAGAAGTTTGCCAAAACTGGATCATGTCAGTGAGATAACCTAACTACAATTAAAAGTTCCTTCACTCCATCTCTGGCAAAAGGGTATGCCTATTTTCTTGGTGATAACTCTCACATTTATTACTAGTTCCAAAGACAATTCATGACTTGACTCACCATGGTTAACAAAAACGACTGGGTCTATTATAGTCTTGTTTGACATCCACCTGTCTCTTTTCTTTTTTGAAATTCTGTAGTGTTTTTCAACATCAACAACCAGTTCTCTGGTTCTCTGGATACTAACCAAGTGTGTTCAACAGTTTTATTCAATTCTGACGCTAACTACCCTGAGTTAATGCAGAGCTTACAGGTTATGGACTCGGTCCCATAAGATTGCCAGACCCCATTTCAGGTGCCAGTCATAAGTCCTGGGTCTCTTATACTTGGCTATAAATTAGGGGCTCCAAGACAACCTCCTCAGGTTCAATAATTTGCTAGAATAACTCACAGAACTCAGAAATACACTTTACTGGTTTATTATAAAGGATACAAATGAACAGCCAGATGAAGACGCACATAGGGTCCCAAGCACGGTAGTTTCAATCTCTGTGGAGTTGGGAAGATGGTAGTATTCACCATCTGGAAGTTCTCTGAACCCCATTATTTAGGGATTTTCATGGTTTCATCACATTGGAATAATCAATTGATTTAATCTCTAGCTCCTTTCCTCTCCCCAAAGGTTGAAGGGGAAAGTTTCAGGCTTCTAATCAAGGCTTGAGGTTTCTGGCATCCAACCCCCCCATCCTGAAGCTATCTAGGGGCTGGCAAGAGCCACCAGATTAGAATAAAATCTCCTCCTATCACTCCAACAACACAGGAAACTACAAAGGTTTTAGCTCTGTGACAGGAACCAGTGACAAGAGCCAATATATATTTCTTCCTGAAAAAAAATGCACTTATAAAAATGTTTAAAGATAGTTTCCAACTGTTGCAGAACTTTCTCCAGGGTTCAGCTAAAACTGGGTTTCTGTCACAGACCAGGAAAGATTAGGCTTGTGGACATAGAAAGGTGAGTGGAATTAATTGGGCAAAAAGGAAAGGAAAAATAACTCTCGGCAAAGCCAGAGAGAGTCCTGCTAGCAGGTCTCCCACCTCACAAATTGAATCCCAGGTCACCACATGGGAACTGAAGAGGTCAGGCTCCCCCCCAATTCAAACTGCGTGAACTCTCAGAGGCTCCACCTCGTCCTCCCAGTTTGTAGGTGGGCATTATTCCGAGAGAATCAGTCGGGAAATGTGGGCTTCTTCCGGGACTAGCAGTCCAGTTTTTCAGCCTTCAGGCTGATTTAGGCTTGAAGGCAGAGTTTCGCTGGGGACCCTTGGCTGTCTCCTGTCTCTATCACAACTAGCCAGTATTAGACATCCTCTGGTGAGCTCATGAAATTCTATGTACAAATAGTTCTTTGTGTTAAATACATCTATCCTCCACTTATATATTCTCCCCCAACTATAAAGCTCACTTCAGAATAGTGTTATTTCCCTTAATTTGTGGATTTATTCCATGGTTCATCATGGCTTATGTCCAGTTAACTTTAGTCACTGCATGGATGAATCATTACAGCAAACATACACGTTTGTTTATTTCTATTGTGATGACATTTTCCAAATGCACCTTAGGTCCAATATCCTGAGACATAGGTCCAAAATTGAGACTCAGAAATAGGCTTTTTATATTTGATTTTCCCTTCTCGAGGCACTTTTTTCTAACTTAATGTTTCTCTAAATGTGTGATTTCCCAAAGTGGATAATTTTGCAGCCTCATTCCCTATACTGGAGACACAATTTCCTTGACACTTACAGGAGTGGTTATCAATAACCTGTACATAATTCATCACATTTCTCCTCAGTCCTTCTAGTTTTGAATAAACTGAATTGCAGACAAAGGAATCAAACAGAAATAAAGTTAAGAACTGTGCATGCCTTCAAATTAGGTGGGAAAAGCTGTATATCACTGAGTTAAGCAAAAACATAGTATGAGAACTAAAAAATGCTAATCATTCTCACTGCATGACTTTGACTTTTTGCTGTATAGCTCTTCCTGGTACTCCCTTACTAGTTTAGGCCTAGGAATGTTGACAATTTGCAGAGCAGATGTACTTTCTCTGAATTTCTCTAATTTGTACCATACTAAGCTACTGCACATGATAGCAGGGTAGAGAAAGAGCATACAGGATAAAAGTTTTTATTTATTTATTTTAATTAATTAATTTGATTGAAAGGTACTCTTGCTCTGTCTCCCAGGCTGGAGTGCAGTGGCACGATCTTGGCTCACTGCAACCTCGGCCTCCTGGCTTCCAGTAATTCTCCTGCCTCAGCCTCCGGAGTAGCTGGGATTACAAATGCTATTTTTTAAATTAAGCATTTGATTTTACAAATTTTATGAAGCATAATATGAGTTGTCTTGGATAAGTGGCCCACTATTGTATCATCTCATAGAGTAATTACAATTGAATAAGTTGCTAATTTAAGTGCTTTAGCCAGGCATGATATAATGTTTGCTATTGTTAAATCAAGTGTAGCTGAAAGCTGCCTCCTTACATATTTTAAGTCTCTGTACCTCGTGAACTACAACCTAAGGGGAGTTGTAAACAGACTGTACAACCTAAAGGGAGTTGTAAACAGCCTACTCTTATGCCAATCACTGAGTTTTGGCCAATCAAAGGTGGCCAACCGTTCAAATCATGTTCAAATAAGGCAAACACAGAGCTTAACCAATATGGCTTTTTCTGTACTTCACTTCCATTTCCTGTACCTCATTTTCCTTTTTCTGTCTGTAAACCTCCTCCCACCATGTGGCTGCACTGGAGTCTTTGAACTTCCTCTGGCTCCAGAGGCTGCCCAATTTGTAAAGTGTTCTTTGCTCAATTAAAGTCAGATAAATTTATTTTTGCTAAGGTTTTTCTTTCAACACATTGATGTTAAGGATAATGATGAAAAAAAGGTATTTATTTCTTAACCCACATGGGTTACATTTATATTTATTGCACAATCCTTTTCGGTTACCTCATAACCACAAATAATCAGGCTCTTAACACACCTTTCGGTTTCCATCTCAGAAGAATTAGAGGTAGGGGTGTAAGTTCAGATGAGTTGGGAAGCTCTAGTAACATTTTACACAGGTTAAGCCATCTTAGCCATTTATCTTGTATGAAGCTTCTTTTATTTCTGAAAATAATACAGAATGTTTCATATGAAACCTAGAAGTTCATATAGTGTCAAAGTGGAAAAGCAGTGATGATACTGAAAGGCGGGAAGATCCTAGAATTTGTATCTAGATGTGTCACTTTTCTCTGGATCTGACTCTCCTTGCTAGGAAAAAATAATACTAGTTTAGTTTCCATTAGATTTCAGTATCTTAGCACAAACAATAAGCATACTAAGATAAATATAAAATAATATATTTCAGTCTGGGAAGATATGAATCATATACCTGATTTATCTGCATAGTCACCTTGAGCTTAACACACTTGATTTTTTAAAAGGTTAACCTTATCTGCCAAATGAGTTTTCTCTTCCCCTTGAAAAAGCCTTGTAATAAAAGAACTGTTTGCATTTGCAGAGAACAGGATCCTATGGGAAACAAAGAGCTCATTGAACTCTTTTACATTATGGTAATCTGAAGAGAAACATAAGTCAATATTTTTAAGGCATAATATATGGGCTGGAAACTGCTATTTCCCTTTGGATAAAATAATCCACTACTACTAAAATCTAGGCTCAAGTGCAACTTGATACAAACAACCAAAACTATTCTAAAAATTACTCTGAGGGATTTATTTTTAAAGCAGAATGGACAATAGCTTTACTTGTCACTTTTATTGAAGACAGAACTGTAAAATGTAGCTTCTAGAATCATGGGACTTGGTAATAATTTTTACCTGCAAGCTTTTTGATCTACCCTTTGGCAGTTGCCAGTCTCCTTCTAGAAATTGGATGACAAAGAATAATTTATTTTTTCTATCATTAACTTTGAATAAGTTTGTCAAGGTAAAAGTGAGGTGCACATTTAAGAAACTTGTATCTAGATTTAATGAACATAAGAGTCAATTTGAATGAGGCAAGTACATTTTCAGAAATCTTTAATGGAAACGTTCGTCTCTGAATTCTGTTTATGCTTAGCTCCAACATGCCACAACTTTTGATTAGAACACAATATTTATCTATATACATGTGATTTTGTAAATTAAACTCTGCTTAGGTCGTATTTTTTGTAATAGAAATAAAATGTCTTTTATGTCTCCCAGAAATAAGGTAAGGATAAATTTGAATAAACCAAGTGGATGCAAAATCTGAAGTTTGAAATTGGAGTAATAAGTATGATTCTTGCTACATTTAAACTGTCTTAATTTCATCACCATCAGCACCTATTATTTTTGCATATTTACATATTTTCTAAGCTACTACATACTTTCCCAATCTCCAGCCTGTATCTTTTGAACATTTTGCCTCTATATATTTTTTTCCAAAAATTGACTAAGCTTCTGACTGATCAACTTACTCTAGGATCAATTATACTATAGTGCTGAATATTAATTTGTTTGATACTTTTTTGGTACATAGATTTTGAATGTGTTTATTCTTCTAAACTATATGTTAGCTATCTAAAATCAAAACTTGCCCTTATTTTACTTTCTACTAAGTAATGTGATATTGGCTTTGCACATATAATAATCGATAATTAGTTATAATTAATTTAATACTAATTTTGATAGCAATACTCTGGCAGTCAAATTACAACAGAAGAATAACACAACAATTTTGATTATATTCCATTCCTTTCAGAAAAGCATTTCACTTTCTCTGTTGGCAGTAAAACATTTTAAATTGACTACAAATTTGTGCAAAATCATTGGGAATTGTTATGCTTCTATGCATTTTTAAAGAGTGTATTTTTATTGTGATTCTTTGGATCAGTAATTTTATATGTTTATTTCCCACTTGCTATTTTCAGGCTAATTTAGAGCATCATTCCTAACATTAGTAATGGAGTTTGACATCTCTGGAGTTGTTTTGTAAATAGAAAGTTAATTTGGAGACAGTTTTATATTTACAGAACACTGTCTAATTTATAGAATATAAAATGGAAGACAAACTTAATTCTTTTCTGTTTACACATTCTTAACAAGGATCACAGTTATTATTGTGGACAATCTGAATGGGTATAAATGTAAGTCCTATTAAGAATTTCTCAGAAAAAAAGATTAACCTGAAGAATAGCTTAATTATTTTGCTATTTTTATTCAAAATTCCATCCCTTGGGCATTTTAATGTGAGGTAGGTGTGCATACATTTATAGATAAAAGCTTTTGAAAAGGTACTTTAAAATTAGGCTCAATTACTAAAAGGTGTTTTCCTTTAGATTAAAATTTCCATTGTTGCAATAAGTATGAATTTGGAGACAATAACTGCCTTGCTGGATAGACTATATAGGTAACATCATTCAATGAAATGGCTTCAAGTTACTAATTTAAAACATTATGTGGTGCAAAAGAGCATAGGCAACAGTTAGAAAATAAGTGAAAAATGTATCAGGCTACCTTCAAGTCAATTCCAGCAATATGCACCTAAATAAATTACATGATGCATTTAGAAAACTAAAGTGTATGGTAATAGCCATTACTCAATACATCGCATAGGTGATCTTCCTAGACAGACGGTCATAATCAACTTCAGATATGATTTGGATTTAAGTATTATCACTAAGGAATATAGTATATGTAATAAATGTATATTATTAGGAGTAAAGACGGATGGTGCTTTAAAGTCAAATATTTAATAAAGATAATGCATTAGAAAAGAGTGCAATCACTTGCCCTCATTTTGGAAAATATTCTCCAATATTACTGGAAAGTTATATGGTTCTATTAAAATAAAATACTCTTTCTATAAATATACACACAATTCTAAGTAGCTATTACTTTGTTACTGAAGCAATGGATACAAATCTCTGGAAATAGTTTCTGATAAGATAAATAATTTCCTAAAATAAAACTTACACTCAATAATTTAAGATGGAGTACATTATTCTGTTGCTTACATTGAAGGTGCTATGGTTTGAATGTCCCCTCTAAAACGCATGTTGAAATTTAATTGCTATTGCGATGTTGTTAAAAGGTGGGACTATTGGCTGGACGCGGTAAATCATGCCTGTACTCCCAGCACTTTGGGAGGCCGAGGAGGGCGGATCACGAGGTCAGGAGATCAAGACCATCCTGGCCAACATGGTGAAACCCCGTCTCTACTAAATATACAAAAATTAGCTGGGCGAGGTTATGTGTGCCTGAAGTCCCAGCTACTCAGGTGGCTGAGGCAGGAGAATCGCTTGAAGGAGGTGGAGGTTGCAGTGAACCAAGATGGCACCACTGCACTACAGCCTGGGCGACAGAGCCAGACTCCGTCTCAAAACAAACAAACAAAAAAAAACAAACAAACAAACAAAAAAGGTGGGACTATTAAGAGGTGATTAGGCTACGAGAGCTCTGCCCTCATGAATGGATTAATGTTGTTATCACAGAAGGGGCCTGACTGTCATCATGAGAGTGGGTGGTTATAAAAGTGAGTTTGGCCCTCTCTTGTCTCTCATGCCTTCTTACCCTCTGTCTTTCCTCATGGGATGACACGGCATGAAAGCCCTTAGCAGATGTGGGCCCCTGGATCTTGGACCTTCCAGTGGTATTCTGTTACAGCAATACAAAATGAAGTCAAATAGATGGAAATAATACAAATGCCAGGCACATTTATTTGATGATTTTAAACATAGAAAAGACCTATTTGGTTTAATTATCAGTTCTTATTAATATTCTGTTTATAATTCCTATCTATAATGTTCATTAACTTTGAAAGTTCTACTTTTTAAAGTCATAACAAATTTCAAACAAATCAGTAGAGGATAATAGGCCATTATGCCCTCATAAACTTACTAATTATAAAACAACTAAAAAGTGTAGCTACCATGAAAATCTTTGACATAAATTCTAAAAGGTGTCTAAGGGTGACAGGAAAGTCAGTATCATTCAAGGAGAAATATAAGAATGACTAGCCAACATTGATAAGTTGTTTAAAGAAATATATATTTAAATGCACATAAAATATCCTAAATATAATACATGTCTGATGTCAATTATGTCGGACATAATACAGTGACCAGGTTTTTCAAATTAATCATAATTAAGGACAGACATAGATTAAAGATACATTTTAGAATATTATACTTACTGCTACCTGTGTGTGGCAGATGTGGTGCTTGTAAAACTGCTCCTGTGAAGCATGACTATATTAGTGGGAAGGACATCTTCATCATTTAAGAATAAGAAATGTGGTCTGTCAAAATTATAGTGAAAACTATTTGCATTCTATTGAATTATATACTTAGATAGCCTCATCTGTTAGTCCATTTTCATACTGCTATAAAGAACTGCCTGAGAGAGGGTAATTTATAAAAGAATTAGGTTTAATTGGCTCACAGTTCAGCATGGCCTCAGGAAACTTAATATCATGATGGAAGGCAAAGGGGAAGAAAGGCACCTTCTTCACAAGGTGGCAAGAAGGAGAAGTGCTGAGTGAAGCGGGAAGAGCCCCTTACAAAACCATCTGATCTTATGAGAACTCACTCACTATCACTAGAACAGCATGGCGGAAACTGACCCCATGATTCAATTACCTGTACCTGGTCTATCCCTTGACAAGTGGGGCTAGGGGGGTTATGGGGATTATAATTCAAGATGAGATCTGGGTGGGGACACAAAGCCTAACCATATCACCACATAAGAAGAGTATAGTGAGAGGTCTATAAATGTGTTATTTGCATTTGGTTCAAAGAGTAATATTCTGTTGTTTATCCCTTCAAAGTTGGACATTTTATCCAATTAAAGAGGAAATAGAAATTATCTTCCTGATCATCATTGACATCATTATAAATATCATCATGTTGAATACCATCATCCACAGTATCATCACTATAATGATCATCTTCATTATTAACTTCATCATTATCAACATGAATTGAGTTTTTGCCAGGTAAAATGCACTTTGCTAAATGCTTGAAGTGCATTTTTTTTCTTTTAGTCTCTATAATAATTCTGTGGTATATGCTCTGTTGTTCCTGTTAAAAGATGAGGGAAATGAAGCTTAGGAGAGTAATTTTTACATGACCAGCTAAAGAATTTGACTCTCTAATGTAGTCTGTGTTCCTAAACACTACAGCAGGTCATAGCTCACATACTGAATTGACTGCTGAACATTATAAAAGTAATTGCATTTATTGTAATGATTTCCAAACATCTCTTTTCAACCATCAGCTGATAAACATAGTAATAAACCCCAATGTACAACTTTCTGATTTACTTCTTATCAGACCACAGAAATCCTTGTATCTTTCTGTTTCACAGAGCCACCAAAGGGAACTTGCAGCCTACTTCTACCAATCATTCTGGGTTAAAATCTGTTAAAGGGTTGACTAATTGCAAGCTTTACCCCGCAGGTGGGAATTTTGTGTTTTGTTTGTTTGTTTGTTTCTTCAATACTTCACGTTTATTCCTACTGTCATTAATTTAGTTTTAGGAAACATTTTATCTTACATACGCTATTTTAAAGTATCAAAATTACTTTCCAATTTTAACTCATATTTCCAAATAGGCTTAGTTTTCAGCCTACTATGTCTAAACTACTCGTCATGACTGTTCTACTCCAAAATTTCTAAGGCTTTTTCATCTCTAATAAGCTAAGTCCAAATTACTTACTATTCCATTTAAGGATTTCCATGATTTATTCTCAGCTTTGTAAGTTGAACGACAGCTAATGTGGTTCATTCAACACTTTGTCATGTATGACATGATTTTCTAAATTTGCACCTCCTGGGTTTTTTGCTTTTGCTTTCTCTGACATCCTCCAATTTCTGTTTGTAAGAATCAAGTTACATAACTTTCCATCAAAGACTCCCAGTGAATTTTTTACAATTTTAGAAAAATTAAGAAAAATTAAATTCTGTGGAGCTATGCAGAGCTAGGAAAGATTAGTGCTTGCATTTCATAAGTTGTAAAGAGTATATTAGGCATAATGTGCATAGGACAAGTTTGCAGGAAGGTTCTCTGAACTTAATTATAACTTTCTATTAAAAGAAAGTAATATGTCCACAAGGGATGCCAAATAAACATCATTATTATCACCTAATTGGAGGTAGCAAAGGCAGGAAATAGAGATTACACATGGAATATGTTGGGAGCACACACTTTTACTGCAGTAGTCAGTAGCCATTTAAAATAGTGAAAGAAAAAGCTGCAAGGTCCTTGGTATCTACAGAAGATAGAATAATGTAAGGTTGTCTCTAACTTGACAGTATGTTTGTTAGGAATAAGCAAACTGGGCTTTCCTACAGCTGGATATGCCAAATAAGTCAATCAGGATATTGACTGATTGACAGTAAGTGACTTCAGACACATACACATACACACACACACACACACACACACACACCCCATAGCTCAAAGATAAATTACAGAGTGTCCACTGGTCCATTTCTCTATCTAAGCCTTTCAGGTTATAGTACTGCTGGCCTGTTAAATAAATTCACCATGTCCATTTATACCCTTAAAATCAAGGCAAATATTATAATAGTATTCAGAAAAAAAAATCAAGAAAAAGTAGCTACTCTAGGAATAGACCCTAAGACAAGGATGCTAGCTGAGGTATTTTATTTGAGAGGTATAACAAAGGCTGATATAGGAGTGAGGAAATGTAAGGGATAAGTGTGTTGTCAAGTTAATTACAGCTGCAAGTGACTAAAGCCTAATTCTGCCTGGGAAACTGTTTAAAACACCTAACTCAATGTTATATGACCATGCTAGCCAAGAAATTGAGGAAATCACACATCAACTCTTGTCAGTCTTGGTTTAGGGATAGGGGGTGGTAAGTGTTAATTTCTTGGCCTCTCTCTTTTAGGGCACAAACACTAAGGTTTGGGAAAAGGCCTGAGACAAAGAGAAGCAGTTCTGGCAGTTTGAATTCTACACACACTGAGCTATAAGGCAGGAAACCTGTAGATGGGAGTATCCACAGTCTCTCCTATGGACAGGGGACTTATAGAAATATTCTGCAATGTAAAGGAAAACAGGTTACTCATGAAATAAAAAAATACATTTGAAATATTAGCTAAAGAAAAGCAAAATAAAATTTGCACCTAATTTAATTTTGTTTTCAATAAATACCAAAAAGTAGGATTTTTATCAAAAACATAAAGGAATCACACTGAAAGTCTTTCACCTAAAAAATGGAAATCAGAAAAGAGAGAATGGATCCATAGTTTCCTCCTTTTCTTTGTTGCATCAGAAATTTCTCTCTCTACTCTTTCCTGTCCTTCAACATTTAAATGTACCAAGAATCTCTTTTTTATATAAAAACAAATAAATAAGTAAGAAACACTCTGACTCCCTGGCTGTCTCCAGGCAACATAGCTTCTCTATTCTCCCTGTGCTTGGAGGCTTCAGGAAGGGCCTCAAACCAGTCACTGTATTCATTTCCTCAATCTAATTCACTTTGAAAATTACCTCAAGGTAAATTCTACTTTGATCTCACTGAAAAACTGGTGGTTACAAAGAGCCAACATTAAATAAACCCACAG
Organism: Homo sapiens; assembly: GCF_000001405.40. Classification (NCBI taxonomy): domain Eukaryota; kingdom Metazoa; phylum Chordata; class Mammalia; order Primates; family Hominidae; genus Homo; species Homo sapiens. The sequence goes on along the minus strand of NC_000013.11, from coordinate 81,295,250 downwards.
GACACTTTTCAGTCCTTAACTTGTTTGACCTCTGCATAGCATATGATATTGTTCAACACTGCTTTCTTCTAGAAACAGTCCTTCTCTTCTTTAGTGTAACACCAATTTTTTGTTTTTTTCTTTGTTTTTCTCCTATTCCTCCTATCATTGTCAATTCCTTTGGTTAAGCTACTGAATCTACTGCCAGGTGGTCAAGGAGTATCTGATCTATTATTTTGGATAGTGACAGAGATCTAGAAATCTGATTGTTTTTCTTAAAGACTTTCCATGGAACATTTGCTTTTCAGCTTCATCTAAGCCTCCACCTTTAGCAAAAAATTTGAATTTCTACCTCCTAAAACTTTCAGGCTACCTGCATGCAAAATATCTTTCTTTCTGCTTTCTCTCACTACAAGTTCTTAGTTTTTCCTCTGCTCTGTGGAGTCCCTGGCTATTATTAGTATGTTTTCATGCTTCTTAAAAAATTGATTATTTTTTCTCTGATTCTTTTTGCATATGTAGGTATAGACTTTCATTTTTATTCCTTACCATCATTTTAAAAATATATCAGAAAAACATAGAGGTGGAGGTGTATCAGTCAGCATTTCTTGAGTAACAAACACAATGGAAACTTGGAAAATATATATATACATTTATATTTCTCATGCGTACATCTGCAGGTCAGTTGACGGGCTCATCTGTAGTCTGGGAGCTGTTTCTACTCTGTGAAACTCAAAGCATCCCTTGTAATGAAGAAGTAATGACAGATACACACGAAAACAAGTCAAAACTCTGCTCTTGCCAAGTATATTAATATCCCATTGTGAGAGCAAGTTGCATGACTATGAGGCCATCTGTAAGGGGTGCTGTGCACTAACACAGGGAAATGAAAATTCTAAACCAATAATCCTAGCTGCTATAAGAATTACATACTTGTGTTTAATATGCCATGTAACATCCAAATAAGATTATATATGCATGTATTTATTTTGTTTTTAGCACTAAATAAATCACTTTAATGCTCAATTGTAAACACTATATATACTGCACTCTCTTAAGTATAAGACCTACTTGTCAGTAACCCCAAAAAGGCATTATTTAAGGCTTCTGATAACTTTTCCAGTTCATTCTCCTTTTCTTTATTTCTTTCAACACATATACCATGCACTCGGCACCATTCTTAACTCAGCCATTCTTAACTATCAGAATTCCTGGAATGTAATATGATCTACATCAACTCACGGAATTTAAAGGGAATTCTGTTTCATAGATTCTGAAAAAACCCTTTTTAAGTCAATTTTGCTTAATCAGCCAAAAATATTAATAGCAAAAAGGACTTAAAGCTTCAATGGCTCAAAAGGATTTCCAACAAGCAGTATTATTGAGCCCTTGAAAGCTTCCTGACCAAGCAATCTCTTTCTGCACTTGCTGATATGTGTTTATCTGAGCATCTTTTACTTAGCCCAAAATAGGCTAAGTAAACATTGAAAATCCATTGATAAAGCTAATGACCCTTTCCTTGTTTCCACTTCCTCCACATGATGATATGCCTCAGAGTTTCAGAAAACACCTCTTCAGCCAACATATCTTCATTTTATCAGAGTCACATCAGTATGTCACAAATGCAAGTTTCCATGAGACTAGAGCATTATTCTATGTCTTTTTTAAATCAATAGCAACACGATCACTTCAGTTTTTAAAGAAATCTGGCAGGGATAATAGAGTTAACATTACTAATTTTTTTCCTGACAGCTGAATTAACAATCAAATACTATTCTTAGTACTGACAATCTGGATGCAGCTAATGTTAAAAATACATAATGCAAAAAACATTACCCATGTTACAAAAATAAATAAGCAAACAGATAAATGATAAGCCATTTGAAACCAAAATGGCACCACCTTCACAAGCAAAAAACAAATAAAAATAAAACCTATTAAAAAAGAGTTTATATTACAAGGAATAAAGTGCCCCTTTGAAGTGTATCATCACTTTCAGATACTGGCAAAAATTCTGTTAATTGTGTTATTTATTTGCTTTAGTCTCAGGAGAATCTAAAACGCCCAACAATTTGAGAGAATTATGTGATCAGATGTTTTGGTATCTATGTTATCTGGTGTAATGGATATTTGTTGTTTTTTCTGCTTGGCATATCTTTGTTTGGGGTTGATAATACTTTAATTATTTTTATATTTCTGAGCCACATTTATTCATTCTAAGTTAAAGAATCCAGCTCCATTGATGAGGATGAGACACAAGTTATTCTGGAAAAGTCTACCTGTTGCCTATGCAAAGACTTTTACTTGAATGACAGAAAGGGAGTAGAATTTTTATTTCTTGAATAACTGAGAAGTAAGATTTCCTAGGCCACTTTCCATTCTTTGGTAGTAAATATTTCTGGTTTTTCCTGCTACCTCGAATTTAACTGTGTCCTTGGCAAGCTTAGACTTATCTTGGCCAGTAAAATATAAGTTAAATTGGTGTAAGAAGATTGTGAATGCCAGTGCTGTAGACACTGTGCTCTTTAACCCTGCCATAGGGACTGGTGGTGTGCTTTATGTTGGTGGCCCATCAGCCTGTGACCTCAGGTAAAGAACCCTGTTGATTACTGAAGGACATGAAGTTGAATAAATTGTTCTATACCACTGAGATTTTGAGATTATTCCACAGCACTGTCTAGCCCATAATGACTAATACAAATGCTAACTTCTGACAGTTTCCACTTTTACTGACAAAACTCATGCGGAAACCATTACCAGGATGTGGAATGTAACATGAAATCTCTAAATTGTGGTAATGGATGAGCTGAAATATGTTAGGGTAAGGGATGACATTCAGTTCAAATTCAATGTGTGAATAGAATGTGAAATATTCATAGCAGTGCTGGTTAATAACTATCTCTTGACCAAAACTTCCTCTATACTCTCCTGATCTGGCTTCCTTGGTTCCTTCTTCTGGGATCCCTGAACCTCCTCCATGAGCCACCTTACTAATCTAATAATGCCTAGAGTGAGAGGCATCCTCTAGAACTCTGTTTCAATGTTGTGGTTAGTATCTGTATTCATATTTTGAATATCAACCATGTGTAAGTACGGTGTGGCACCTCTATCCAAAGCTGGTAGGTTGTAAAACACAGTGAATTATTGCTATGGTAAAATATAAAAATTAATCAACCAATATAACTAAATAAGACTAAATGTTACATTGTCTAAATTATGCCCACAAATGTTTGAACTCTAGGACATTAGGTAGACTTTTGCTAGAATGATAGATTTTGTTACATAACCCTTAAATTCTGGAATAAATTCCTATAAGGAAATGACAAGCTTAATTTGGAAGTCTTGCTCCATAAAACAAAATACCTGTGAAGTTACTAAGATTTATGGTGCTAACAGGGTGGGAGACTTTAACTTTGGTGATGCTTTTCAGTATTTTTCACATCTATAGAACAGCTCACAGTGGTTCATCTATAGCAACCTATCTTTTTATAGAAGCAGCACTGTGCAGACTCTCAGTGAATTGCTGAATGGTCTGCATGCCTAAAGCCTACAGCAAAGGCAAGAAGCCCTCAATAAAGCAATATGAATGATTGGACTTTTAACAAAGTATCAAAGCCAGCATAATCTGAAATGAAACACTGGCCAAGTAGATCTCAGCAGGTAAGTAAAAATGCTACTTACATGACCACCTCAGCCAAGCAAACATACAGAATTGACGGAGCCTCAAGAAAGCATAGATTCTGAAGATGTTAGCTTATTCAATTAGCCTGAGGGTGCCAGTTGCATTATTCAATCTTAAATTATACTTGTACAGATTGTCAGAAAGAAAGGGTATCAAGAGAGGCTGGAACAACAGAGATCTTAATAGGCAGATTTAGTTGAGGAAATGATTTAATTGGGGATAAGAGAGTGTACTTATACCTTAAAACTTCAAAGAACTGACAGATAATGTGAACTGCCTACTCTATAACTGTTTTCCCTTCTCTTCATTGACGTAACTTGATTATTACCTTAAAAGCTTGTGCACACATCCTGGCTAACACGGTGTAACCCCGTCTCTACTAAAAATACAAAAAAATTAGCCGGGCGTGGTGGCGGGCGCCTGTAGTCCCAGCTACTACGGAGACTGAGGCAGGAGAATGGCGTGAACCCGGCGGCGGAGCTTGCAGTGAGCCGAGATGGCGCCACTCTGCACTCCAGCCTGGGCGACAGAGTGATGTTCCATCTCAAAAAAAAAAAAAAAGAAAGAAAAAAAAAATGCTGGTGCATGGTGTGGCTCACGCCTGTAATCCCAGCACTTTGGGAGGCTGAGGAGGGCGGATCACGAAGTCAGGAGTTCAAAACCAGCCCGGCCAACATGGTGAAACCCGTGTCTACTAAAAATACAAAAATTAGCTGGGCGTGGTGGCACGTGCCTGTTACCCCAGCTACCGGGGAGGCTGAGGCAAGAAAATTGCTTAAACCGGGACATGGGAGGCAGAGGTTCCAGTGAGCTGAGATTGTGCCACTTCACTCCAGCCTGGACTACAGAGCGAGACTCTGTCTCAAGAAAACAAAACAAAACACAAAAACAAAAACGAAGGAAAGCTGGTGCATAGAATAAAATGCAAAATGCTTCAGCTTGATTAGTCAGCATGGAAATTAAAGTAAAACATTTAGTATGATAACACCACACCACCAGAAACATGAACTTAAAAAAAAAAAATCAAATGTTGTAGAGGAAAGGGAACTTTCACACATTACTGACAGGAAAGTAACCCTGTACATAAAAGTGAGAAAGTATTTGGCAATATCAATTAAATGTGGGCCAATATATAACTTTGACCACTCACAGTTATATACCCTACAGAAATGAATATATATGTTCACTGAGAGAAAAGTGTCAGAATAGACACAAAAAGAAAACAATAATACTTGTCCAACAGTAAAATGGATAAGTTGTGTTAAATTCATGTGTGAAATGTAATAAAAATGAGCAAACTACGATTACATGCAAAAACACTGATGAATATTATAAACAAAACACCTTATGAAAGAAGACAAACACAAAATATTCCATTAATAACCTTACCAAACAAAAATAATCTATAATAACCTAAGTCAAAAGGACAATTACTTTCAGAGAAGATGGAGTGGTAATTACTGAGAAAACATAGAGCTGGGAGGTACTGGGTGCCATGGGTATCCTGATTTTTAACAAAAAGGGTGGGCATATGGATGTTCACTTTACCCAATTACTTCAAATTGCACACACATGACTTGTGTACTATTCTGTGTGTTTGTAATTGTTACATATTTATAAGTAAGCTCTTGAGATCTATGTTATTATGCCAATGAAAGTTTTGAGGAACTGACAAATTATACCATTCCAATAAAAGATAGCCCAGTCTGTAACTGCGAACAGACAAGGTCCTTACTAGGGATAAATACCTTCTGTCTAAGCAGTAAATAGAATAAGACTAATTAAAGAAGACTTTAAATTCTCGGGACTTTTAATTTTGAAAGGTGAGATAATTGATTTAGGACTTAAACTCTTTGAGTTTTAATATACTGAGACTTTGATTGCAAAGAAATTAAATCTATGGACCATAATGTCTCATTGGGAATTTGATAATGGAAGAGAGCTTAAATTTAAATTTGGATTATTTCTATGTTGATGGAATTTTATTACTGACATATCTTTATGCATTTATCATTTGATTTTTAATATTTTATTCTACATCATTTCATAAATACTGATAAACTATTGTAAAACTTAGAGGAACATTATTTGGAAATAAAAATGGAATAAAGAGTGACTTTTCAGCTGTGACTATATTGTTAATCATAGAGTTGATCTTACTCATTTCAGAAATTGCAGCAAACACATAATATTGTAATTCCTTTTCAAAAAGGATTTACCAAGAGTGATAGTGGAGCAGAATGGGCCATTATAGACTACTCATCTTCTCCAGTACCTTCTCATCATACTATACCAACATGGACTTGTAGCTTAACCAAATGGGTTAAACCCAATGGGGTATGAGAAAAATAAAACAAAACAAAACTTCAGTAATTTCAATGTCAGTGCTTTTTTCCACTCTTGGTGTTTCTTTTCATGAGGTGGAAGTTTCATTAGTATAAGCCTCTGTTTTTTCCTTCAACTCCTCACTCACACCTAACCTGAGAGGAATGACTTTCACTGATGAGTTTAGAAATATGAACTGCAGGTGAGGTAGCTGTTTTATACTCTTTTCTTTCACTCTTCAGAGCCAAGCGCACATAAGTATGCATTTTTATGTACTCATCTGTGTAGAGCAAACACCCTAAATTATGGGTCTCTGTGCAAGATGAAAATGGTGGGAAAATGTGTTGTAAAGCTACTAAAGTACAAAGTTTTTTATTTGTTCTATGAGCTCTTTCTCCACTTGTCTTGGTGTTTTTTTTTTTCTTTGTTGTGTAATGTTCTAAGTAAAGAAAAAGTAAAATTTTAAATTATTAACAGAAATGTTACCATTCATCTTTATATTGTGCAATGTTCTTTTTTAATAGAAAAATGCACAGTCAGTATCCTGTGGCTCATATTTCTACATGCATTTCATTCTTACTAAAACAGTAGAAATGTTACACAGAACTAATTAAAAACTTTTATTTCACGTCTTAATGCATACATTCTACAAACACTCTCAACCTTCAGTTTCTGAAGAGTAGGAACTAGTGAACAAAATTATGTTCACTTCTTATATGTTATCAATTTCAGTGTAAATTGTTGGCTAATTCAAGGAAATAACATGAATAAGAAAAGCTATAACAGGGTTCTTCAGTTGTTCATATTTTCTAGAACACCACTGCCTCCTTTCTATATTAAAAGCAACTTACATTTTAAATAAGAAATGTGGGTTCTGGGAACTGTCAGTTTCCCTCTTACTCAGACACAAAAGTAAGATGCTTATCTTATACTCTTTATGTCTTCCCGAACATCCATGCATTGTGGGTTCACTGGAATTCTCTACTCAGGAACATCGTCAATGCTATATGCAAATAGAGAAGCCAGGAATAGGGGACAGGAACATTGTGCATCTCTCCTCTGCTCATACTCATGATTCTTTGGCCCATCAGGCTTTGTTATCAAGCACAAATTCAAAGAAAAAATTATTAAAAATTTCAAGATGGATACATGACAACATTAAACTAAGTGTGAGGCGCTGAGAGACTGTCTAGGTCACGTGCTTCTGAAGCCATGTCTCCATAAGTGTTAAATGGACAGGGACTTATACAGGAAGTCCTATCTTTGTCTAACAATACTGTGGTTGTGTAAACAGCTTGTGAAGCTAATTTGGTGCCAAGAGTCTACTTGGCACTAAATATTTGCTTGGCAGCAGATATTAACCATATTTATCAGTTTTTAAAATGGTATTTTGGTTCTCATCTGCCTTGATTTGGGGCTTATTGCTCAATTTCTAAGCCCTAAGACAGAGAAAAGAGGTATTTATTGGAGTTTATCTTAAACATAAGTAATAATAATTACCATACAGAAGACACTGTAGCTAAAAATGCAGCTTAAAAAGAATACTGGGAGACCTACAATATTTTTCTCAGAATATTTTCAAAGATGCCATTGTTATGGTTTGGTATCATGGATTCTAATTTCTAAAATTCAGTTTATTTTTTTACAGGTAATCTTAATAATATGTGGTTAACAAAACAATTTTTCTTGGTCTCCAAAATATCATTTTATCCAACAAATATCTACTCATTAAAATCTACCTTGGTATAAAGACAATTAGTACTTTCCTTGGCTACTTGCTGTTGTTAATACATCAAGGAACATAAGAAACAATGTCACACTTTGTTAAACATACGTTCTTTAAGTAGTTTAAGTTACAATAAAAGATATCATCATGATAGTCTGGAGTAAGTAAGAAGATTAAATAAGATGCAAATTCTAGTAAACAATGTGTCTATGGGGAAAAATCAGTAAAAAGGACTTACAAGCTGACTTCAAGTTATGAGAATTGCTAGATGAGTACACTATAATGCAACCAAACAAAAGATAATGTGAGAGAAAAAGAGACAAAGTGTTCAATGAAGCAGAATAGATAGCTGAGAAACAGACTTGCAAAAATAGCCAATGATCTTTGACAAAGGAGCAAATGCAATATAATGGAGAAAAGATTTTGTTTTCAAAAAATGGTGCTAGAACAACTGGATATCCACAGGCAAAAAAAAAAAAAAAATGAATCAAGACACAGACCTTATACTCTTCAAAAAATAACACAAAATGGATCATAAACCTAAATATAAAATGCAAAACTATAAAACTCATAAAAGATAACATGAGAGAATATCTAGATGCCCTTGGCTAAGGTGATGACTTTCACCAAAAGCACCCATGGAATAAATAATTGATGTCAGACTTCATTAAAATTAAAAACTTCTGCTCTATGAATGTCATTGTCAAGGAGGAGGAGAAGAAAAGTCACAGACTGGGAGAAAATATATGCAAATAACATACTTGTTAAAGAATTTTTATCAAAATATACAAAGAACTCTTAAAACTGAAGAATAAGAACATGTCACGCCTGTGATCCCAGCACTTTGGGAGGCCAAGGCAAGAGGATTGATTAAGCCCAGGAGTTTGAGACCAGCCTGGGCAACATGGCAAAACCCTGTCTCTACCAAAAATACAAACACAATTAGCCAGGCGTTGTGGCATGCATTTGTAGTCCCAGCTACTCTGGAGGTTGAGATGGGAGAATGGTTTGAGCCTGGGAGGCAGAGGTTGCAGTAAGCCCAGATCACACCATTGCACTCCAGCCTAGGCAACAGACCCAGACCTTGTCTTAAAAAAAAAAAAAAAAAAAAAAAAAAAACAAAACCTGAACAAACATGCCACCAAGGAAGATATACAGTAATAGACAGTTGACAAGCAAGCATATGAAATGGTTCTCGATGTCATATGTCATTAGAGAATTGAAAATCAAAACAAAGAGATACCACTATACACCTATTAATATAGGCAAAATGCAAAATAGTGACAGCGCCAAATGCTGGTGAGTATGTGCAGCAACAGGAACTCTCATTCATTGCGGGTGGGAATGCAAAATGATACAGACTGTGATGGTTAATACTTAGTATCAACTTGATTGGATTGAAGGATACGAAGTACTGATCCTGGGTGTGTCTGTGAGGTTGTTGCCAAAAGAGATTAACATTTGTCAGTGGGCTGGGGAAGACAGATCCACCCTTAATCTGGCGGGTGTAATCTAATCAGCTGCCAACAAATATAAAGCAAGTGGAAAAACATAAAAAGGAGAGATGTGCCTAGGCACCCAGCCTACATCTTTCTCGAATGCTGGATGCTTCCTGCCCTTGAACACTGGACTCCAGCTTCTTCAGTTTTGGGACTCAGACTGGCTCTTATTGCTCCTCAGCTTGCAGACAGCCTATTGTGGGATCTTTTGATCTTGTAAATAAATACTTAATAAACTCCCCTATATATATAATGTATAATATATAAAATAAATTCCCCTATATATAATAATAAATATATAATATAAAATATAATAAATAATATATATTATGTATAATAATATATAATATACATTATGTATAATATATAATATATAATATACATTATGTATAATATATAATATATAATATACATTATGTATAATATATAATATATAATATACATTATGTATAATATATAATATATAATATACATTATGTATAATATATAATATATAATATACATTATGTATAATATATAATATATAATATAATGAATATATAATAAAATATATATATATCCTGTTTGTTTTGTTCCTCTAAGAGAACCCTAATACACAAACATTTTGGAAGACAGTTTGGCAGTTTCTTACAAAACTAAACATAATCTTAACATATGATCCAGCAATCATGATCCTTGGTATTTACCCAAAGAAGTTGAAAACTTATGTCTGCACAAAATCCTGCTCACAGTTGTTTATAGTAGTTTTATTCATAATTGGCTAAACTGGAAAACAGCCAAGATATCCTTCTATAGGTGAATGGATAAACAGACTCTACTATATCCAGACAGCAGGATAGTTTTCAGTGTGAAAAAGAAACGAGCTCCATGTAAGGACATGGATAAATCTTAAAGGCATTTTACTAAATGAATGCAGCAAATGTGAAACTCTACATGTTGTGTGAACACAAGTATATGACATTCTGGAAAAGCAAAACTATGGCGACAGTAAAAAGATTAGTGATTGCCAGGGGTAAAAGAGGAACGGGGATAAAGAGAACATAGAAGATTTTCGGTAGTAAAAATAATCTATATGTTACTATTATGGTGGATATATGTTATTATCCATAGAAAGTACAACACCAAAAGTGATCACCAATACAAACTATGGACATTGAGTGATATTGATGTGTCAATGCAGGTTTATAGATTGCAACAAATTTATAACTCCTCTTGTGGTGGATATGAAAAATGGGACCAACTGTGTATGTGTGGTGGTAGGGGTTATATGAGAACTGTGTATTTTTTTTTATTAATTTTGCTATGAACTTCAAACTGCTGTAAAATGCATTTATATATAGGAAGACATTGAATTTATAAAACAGAGCTAGAAAATTTTTGCTTTATTGTATTTTTAAAAAGTATTAAAATAATATGTTTCTTTATAGAAAAAAACAAAATAAAACAAATCATTTTTGAATTTATACTTTTAAATTTAAAACTCGAGGTGTTCCCACAACATTGGCATTTTGAGCCCTGTACTCACAATATGTTCTTACTCTGTCCACACATATTAGGCATTCTTCTGCCCTCTGTCTTTTCCTAATTATTATCCCTAGCTTTAATACTTTTAACCTCTTGTTTGTCCTTCTTTTCCTTAAATTTCACCTTCATAGGTATCTGCTATAAATTTGTCTCAATAGTAAAGCCAACCATGATCTCTTCCTTATCCAAACTCTTTTTTGTATTGATTGAATATAACAATCATTTGATACTGATGGAGGATTTTTTTCTGCTCCTTAGCTCAGCTAGGTCCAAGTTCATGTCTCACAACAAGGAAGAATTAGGTGTGTGGATACCATACTGGAGAGTGAGTGGAGTAGAATTTATTAAGCAAAAGGAAAGTTCTCAGCAAAGAGAGAATGCAGGGGGTGGGTCCCCTACCTGAAAGCAGAAAAAATTCTCTGATATGGCTGACCCTGGGGCTTTTATGGGCTCAGAATAAGGAGTGTGTGCTGATTGGTTTGTAAGTATGAAAAAAAAAGGTGAAAGCAAAGACACTACTCAAAGGTGGGCACAATAGTGTAGAAAACCAATTAGGAAAGGGTAGATATATGTAAAATACATGACAGATGTGGATCAATCAGAGGAAAGCACACCAAACAGAAAGACAGGTTCTTAACCTGGTCCAAGTATTTAACTTGTAGCTTGGCTTTCAGGCTTTAAACTGTTTCTGGCTTGCAGGTGGGGTTTCACTGGGGACCTGCCCCTATCTGCCTAGCCATTTGGCTGCCTCCTGCTGCTTCAATACTTACCACATATCTATTTTCATTCTTAGTGAGCTTTCATCTTTTGTGTTAATTATGAAGCCATGAACCTTTTGTAGTTTTTACCTATGGGCATTACTTGTGCTTGGCAAATTTGCTTACAAAATATTGATGTTTGAAATATGAATTGTGATTGACAAGATTCTTTACAAGGTCTTTGGAGATCTGCTGGGTTTTTGGTGATTTGCCTTAGTAGTGAAATTAATTGTAAGCATACACTTCTTAAAAACTACAGTTGAGAAAACACTGCACGTACAAATTTAAATATGAACCAATGCAAGAGGCAGCATCATTTAATATAAAAACAACTAAATTTAATTTGCCATATTCATGGTCCTTTGGACTTAAATTCTCTCCAGGGAATTTTACCAAGCATGACTTGTCTGAGTGATATTTTAAATGAGGTGCATGCAGCCAAGCATCCTTTCTATTCATACAGTGACCAAAAAAAAAAAAAACAATATGGTAGTAAAACTCATTTCAGTACCATGATGAGCTAACTGAAAATACTAACCTCTGGCCCTTTACCCTCTCCAGTCATGCAGAGAGTTTGCCGTTTAACTAAAGAAATTGACAGTGGAAACAATGCGGTTGTACTGTCCATCTTTGATAGCTGCTCAATCAAATCACATCTTATGAAGACAAAACATATTTTAAACTTTCATTTGGTACAAAGTTGCTGAGTGCTGACAAATGCTAGATTTATCAGTCATAATTGGTTCTGGATCATTAGCAATACCATGAAGAAAGCTTCATAATTACCACATTGAAAGATCAGTTCATTTGCTGTGGTGTGCATTCATATTTGTCTGACAAAGAAACACCCAAATACTGTGCTGTAAATGCTTGAGATTAATATTCAAAACTTCTAGAGTGTGTGTGTGTGTGTATATATATATATATACACACACACACGTATATATATATACACACACACATATGTATATATACATATATAACACACACACACATATTCCATTCACTAGATTAAAAAACTATTCTACAAAATAATCTTTTTAAAATTAATTCTGTGACATTTATTTTTTGTTGTTGAGTACATGGGAAAAGAGATGCTTTTCAACCCTACCTGTTCTATGATTGTTCTTAGACGGTTGTAAGTAAAATCATAAATGTTTTATAAATATTTTCATTCAAATAATATATCTGTATATGACTGTATTGCACCAAAATATAGTAAAGAAGTAACAATGAAGGAATACTGCAAACGTTTTCTTCATTCTCTGGAGCCATGTGGAAGAATAAAGTACCAGTGGTGAAATTACAGTTGTCATTTTCGGTAGCTGGTCAAAATTTTCCATCCCAGCTTCATGTTTAAGAACGTGAAGTTTGCCACCAGACATGACGAAGCTGAAGTTCTAGTCTGTCACTGACTAGCTGGGTTGTTTAGAGAAGTCGCTTCTCTCTAACCATGTTTCATGAACTATATGAGGCGATAGAAACTAGTCGAAATCACAGGTTGTTCTGAGCATTAAGTGAGATAATACATATTATCTTTAGCATATGTCTGAATCATATGAAGTATACAAAAATGTATGTTAACTTTATATATCATTTTATGAATTTGAGATATATCTCTGTGCTTTGAGATTTTCTGTAAAATAATCCTATTGTCAGAGTATGATCAGTCTTTGTGGGCTCTGACTTCCAAGTGACTGATTTTCTGAACACTTCTAGATGAGCAAGATCAGATCGACCTTAAAATAAAAAAATCTTCTGGCTTGGTGTAGGGGCTCACGCCTGTAATCCCAGCACTTTGGGAGGCTGAGACAGGTGGATCAGCTGAGGTCAGAAGTTCAAGACCAGCCTGGCCAACATGGTGAAACCCCGTCTCTACTAAAAATACAAAAACTTACTTGGGCGTAGTGGTGGACATGTGTAATCCCAGCTACTTGGGAGGCTGAGGCAGGAGAATGGCTTAAACTCCAGGTGGAGGTTGCAGTGAGCTGAGACCATGCCTTTGCACTCCAGCCTGGGCAACAAGAACGAAACTCTGTCTCAAAAAGAGAAAAAAATCTTCTTAGGGATAAGCACACTGCTCTCTAACTTCTTTTTTTACCTATCATAACAAGGGAAAGAAATTGGAATTCCCACTTTAGAGATTCCTTTATATAATCCAAATAAAAATGTTTGAATTTGGGCAAAAACAAATATATTAGAAATAGTTTCAAATAGAAACTGTGCTGGATGTCAGACTGCAGAACCTCTCCTGGCTGTTTCCCCTAATTATATATTGGAAAGGCCGTTACTACCCAGTATTTTCAACAAAACAAAGCAAGTGGCATTCATTTTGAGAAAGTTTTCTCCTTTTCAAAAACTCTGTCATACCATCCTTTTTTGTTATGTGACACCATTTTGGTAAATTAGAGATGGCAGAAATTGAATTTAAAATAGATTAAGTAGAATAATAATTATTGATCAGATTAAAAAAAGTGTGCGACCATATCCAGAAATGAAAATCATCCAATGGTTCAATGCCACTAGTACCTGTACATTACATTCTCAACCTTTCTCCTTCCTTCCTTTCCTCCCTCTCCTCCTCCTCCTTCCCTTTCTTCATTCTTCCATACCTTCTCTCCCTTTCTCTTTCCCTCCCTCTCTCTCTTCCTCTCCCCCTCACTCCCTCCCTCCCTTACTCCAACTTTTTATCCCTCTCTCTATCCCTCCTGGTTTCATCCTTCCCCTTCTTCTTTTATTTCTATTTTAGTCTACATGTTCCAACCACACTTTCAGGAACAAAGTTCAGTAAAAATAATAATTCTTATACCTTATAACAATCCTGTAAGATAAGGAACGTTACCAAACCTATTTTACAGATAAAGAAATTGAGGCACAGAGAGGTTATATACTTTGCTGAAGGTCACATAAGTGGTGCCGAAATGTAGACGGTCTGAATACAGAGGGTTTTTTTTTTAATAAGTGATATCTTCAAGTATATTTGTTGCACAGGATAAAATAGAAATCTCATATAATTTTCTATAGCTATTCCAAGATTCACTGATGTTTCTAAGATCCCATGACTTGAGCAATATTTACCTTTCTTTTCTGCACACAGATCCAAACATTTAGCAAGCAATGTAAAGGGGTGCTGTTTGATGTGTTTTGTAGTGAGAAAATCTGAGATACAGGTGAGGGTTGCATTTTAGCTTCCATAGAAAAATCACATCTCTGTCATCATATGTGATTTGGTAGCCATCCTGCTATCCTTTATCCCTGAATTTCACCTGATTCTACCATTTCTACCTGATTCTACAGAAAATCCAATCGCACCAAACATTTGGAATTGTTCCTGGACAATTGAAAATCACAGGGAAATTCGTGAAGGGTAATACCATTCATTGAACACTCTTTACCGTCTAACCAATCCCTGCTGTTGTCTCATCAATTCATCAACTCCTTATAGTCCCCTTCCCATTGCCTCTATCTACAATTTATTTTCTCTCTGTTGTACACAGTTTTCTCCCACTTACTTCTTTAGCTTTAGTATCATATAGTTCTCTGCTCTTGAGGTCAGAGCTTCCACAGGACATTTTATTTTCTACAGACTTATATTCCTTTAAAATGAACTGCTTATCCATCTACACAGAGAATACATTTTCTTCATGTCATAAATTAGGATGTATATGAAGAAATGAATAGCTTACATATTTGAGGGGCACAGAGCCACCATGCTGTTGAAAATTTCCATATGATTTCTGCTCCCCCAAAACTTAACTACTAATAGCCTGCTGTTGACCAGAAGTCTTACTGAAAGCATAATGGTCAATTAACACATATTTTGTATGTTCTATATATTATATACCTTATTCTTACAATAAATTAAGCTAGAGAAAATAAAATATTATTAAGAAAAAGAGAAAACATATTTACTATTCATTTAGTAGAAGTGGCTCATCATAAAAGTCTTCATTCTCATTATCTTCATGTTGAGTAGGTTGAAGAGGAAGAAGAAAAGGAGGGGTTAGTCTTGCTGTCTCAGGGGTGGCAGAGGTGAAAGAGGTGGAAGGGGAGACAGGAGGGATGGATTGAAAAAAAGTCTATGTATAATTGGACCCATTCAGTTGAAACCCGTGTTGTTCAAGAGTCAACTGCATATGTGTCTGTGTGGAGAGGGCTGCATGGGGAGAGCAAGCACACAGGATGATGCAAATACACAGAAAAAGAATGGTCAACTCCAGTAAAGATAGAGAGTGGCATAACTCTGGTAACAGGTGCCCAATTATTTTAGTCCACATTTTCAAGAAAATGGAGTCCAAGGCAAGGATTAAAAGTGCTCATAGTTAATTAAGAAAATAAAAACCACAGTAGCAAAGTTGAGAAAATGAAGTGAGGCAGGGAAGGATATGAAGCAATCCAAGAGAATGCATTGCTGTGCTAGACACTGCACGTGGTGATTGACAAAAGTCACTTACAAAACTGATTTGGACTAGACAACATGGAAATTAGGTTTTGCAGTGCTGCCTGCAAACATGTATTTGCCTGGGTATTTCCTGTCTCTTGCTTCCCATTGTCCTATATTTACCCCAGGTGGACTCAATGCCTCTGAATGTCTAGTTTGTGGCACCAGGCTGCTTTTGTGGCTCCTTATGCCAGATTCTTAACTCTGGAGAGGTCACTGGGGCAGGATGATTCATGCCCTGCAGTGTGATATTTCATTTAAGTCAGGAATATCTCCTGATTATGAGATTCAGGAATATGGCATTTGTCTAGCTCTGGCACTCAAGGGACAGGCCTGCACTTTAAAGCTGTGACCTGGGAGGACATCGTTGTCTGAGGAACTGACCACACACAGGGAATCTTAAGAACAAAAGGCAGTATCATGTTCCTATGCGTACTCCATGTGTTAAAAGAAACACAATTAAGAAATGGAAATCACCCAGCTATGTGATGTCTCATTATAAACAGTTAACCATCCTCAGTTTTCTCCCTTGAAGGAGAGAAAAAAAACAAGAAACAACACTGCCTTCCAGTGCGAAGGGCTTCAACAGTTATCTTCTTAAATATAGAGCCAAACATTTTCACAGGGCAAATTGCTCATTGCGTGGGGCTGTCCAGCCCATTTTGGCATCCTTGAGCCTTGCTTGTTGATGCAAGTTGCACTCCCTGGTATTGAGACACCTAAAAATGACCTCACATATTTCTCAGGGTGGGATAAGTATGACCCTTGTTTGTGACCCATTGTTAATAATCCACGTTAACTATATTTCAGTCACTGACCAGTTCTAATTGAACCTCGAGATTACTTACAATTTTACCTCTAATATATAATTGATTACACATCCTTTTTCAAATACGGTATTCCAGATACTAATATTGTCTGGGTAACCTGAGAAACAAAACTCTTTTTCATCCTTTGTCTGGTCCCTAAAAATATTAATTGACTTTAGGATTCTATCTCCAGCTTTGCTCTTATTCTCTCTACTATATTAAATTGATGTCATTTATTCCCCTGGTTTCACTTTCCATCTATATAATAAGGACTCCTAGAAATAAATTTCCAGCTGAGCCTTCTCCATTGAGCTTTAAAGATGAATGCCTAACGTGGTCTGGACACCTGAACTTGGATGTTTCCATGGCACCTGAAACTCATTATTGCAAAAGGTGAATTCATATTTCTTCCTCCAAACTGGCTTGTATTCCTGTACTTTCCATCTCATTTGGTGAAATGTAGTTTATTCTCTTACCAACATTAGAATATTTAAAAATTCTTGACTTGTACTTTGGTCTATTCTTCACCTTCCACATCTGATCATTCGGGGAAAATCTTGGAAATCTTACTTTTGTACTGGAATAAGCAAAGGCTTCTTCATACTAGCTATTAGTCACTATGTAAAGGTTTAAGTATAATAAAATTGGTAAGTGTTCATTTATAACTGGGTATTTGTTATATAAACAGTATTGAGTTGCTGTTCTCTGATTTAATATTATATCTGGAAAACTTATTCTTTTGTCTAGGCTTGCCTTGTTGGTTTCTAGGAGCACATATATTATAGGGTAACACTTTACTACAACAATGAGGAAATACAACATAGAACCAACATGAGAAGCATTTTTAGTTCCTTTATTTTCCTGGCATCTATATGTGGATTTGTGAGATGGGTTTGGAATGGAAAGCTTTAACCTTCAGAATTGTTACCATATGTGCTTTCCTTATTTTGTTTTTAATGCACTTTTCCTGAGCAATGAAAACATACATACATATACATATATATATAAATTTATGTAAACAGACTATCCTTCTTGAACAGCTAGGCTATAATCACTATTTATTTAATATTGTGTGGTTACTGAAGCCAGGCTTTCAATTTGTATCTGAAAGTCCTTCACGCTGGACACAGTAAAAACATTAGTTGTTAAATAGATAAAGAAACAAATAGGTTGATCTTATCCAGTTGGCTTGTTTCTCATCCCCACATCCAAGTTCTCGTGCTATTAGGAAGGTGTGTTTCTTTTATTAATGCCTGGTATGCTCTCTCTCTTCATGTGAATTGGCAACCTTTATAGTATACAGTGTTAAATCAGGTGAAAGCTTCAGTATTGCTTCCACAATGGAGTTACCTTTCACATATAGGAAAGGACATTATTTGACCAGATTTTGCTAAGTCAGTGAAGTTCCTGGGCAGGTAATGGCAGATATGTTTATAGTTTTAGAGATTAAAGAGAAATTTGGGTAGGCATAATCTGTCTGATGTCCTTTTGAGGGCACTAGTTAATATCGGATAACTCAGAATACTCTGTCATGGGATAAAAGATGAGTGTTGCTATTCTAATTTATGTCATAGGATTCAAAATTTAAGAAAAGTTGCCCCTGGCCAGGCACGGTGGCTCACACCTGTAATCCCAGCACTTTGGGAGGCCGAGACGGGCGGATCATGAGGTTGAGAGATCAAGACCATCCTGGCTAACATGGTGAAACCTCATCTCTACTAAAAAATACAAAAAATTAGCCGGGTGTGGTGGCGGGCGCCTGTAGTCCCAGCTACTCGCAAGGCTGAGGCAGGAGAATGGCATGAACCCGGGAGGCAGAGCTTGCAGTGAGCCGAGATCGCACCACCGCACTCCAGCCTGGGCAAGAGAGCGAGACTCTATCTCAAAAAAAAAAACAAAACAAACAAAAAAAAAGTTGCCCCTTCGTCAAAATGCTTTACTAGTGCTGGAGTAATATAGGATTCAATAACTGGGAGAACCATTATGGTGTGTGCAAGGGGGTTTCTAAATCCCAGATTTTACTGTTCACTTATTAGTATTCTTTTAGAATGCTTTTAGATAAAAATAACAGCATTAAAAATTATAAGAATTTAGGTTATGATAGAATTACTTTGGATATTAATTTTTTTGAAAATACTGATTTGGTTTTTTATATCATTGTTTTTTAGGTCTGGAATTTGTATCCAGGAAAATGTAACATCTGATAATAATTACATTTCTATAATTAAAAAGATAATCTAACTAGAAAAATTTTAATTCATTAGAGAAATTTTAAAGTTGGATGTCCAGGGGAGACATCACATGTCAGCAGGTTCGGTGATGCCCTTTGAGCCGCAAAACCAGCCAGTTTTGATTAGGGGTTTCAAAAGGAGAGGGGTGTACGAATAGGGAGTGGGTCACAGAGATCACATGTTTCAAAGGCAATAAAATATCACAAGGGCAGAGAGGCAGAGTGAGATCACAAGGCCAGGGTGAAACTAGAATTACTGATGAAGGTCCATGTCCTGCAGGGCACACATTGTCATTGATAAACATCTTAACAGGAAACAGGGTTTGCAAGCAGACAACCAGTCTGACTAGAATTGACCAGGCTGGAATTTCCTAATCCTAGCAAGCCTGCAGGAGACCAGGGTGTATTTCATCTCTTATCTACAACTGCATAAGACAGACACTTTCAGAGCGGCCATTTTAGAGACCTCCCCCTGGGAATGCGTTCCTTTTCTCAGGGTTATTCCTTGCTGAGAAAAGAATTCAGCGATATTTCTCCTATTTGCTTTCTGAAAGAAGAGAAATATGACTCTGTTCTGTCCGGCCTCACAGGCAGTCAGACTTTACGGTTATCTCCCCTGTTCCCTGAAAATTGCTGTTATCCTGTTCTTTTTGAGGTGCTCAGATTTCATATTGTTCAAACACACATACTTTACAAACAATTTGTGCAGGTAATGCAATCATCACAGGGTCCTGAGGCGACATACATCCTCAGCTTATGAAGATGACGGGATTAAGAGATTAAAGTAAAGAGAGGCATAGTAAATTATAAGAGTATTGATTGGGGAAGTGATAAATGTCTATGAAATCTTCACAATTTATATTCAGAGATTGCAGTAAAGACAGGCATAAGAAATTATAAAAGTATTAACTTGGGGAACTAATAAATGTCCATGAAATCTTCACAATTTATGTTCTTCTGCCATGGCTTCAGCCGGTCCCTCCATTTGGGTTCCCTGACTTCCTGCAACAGATGTTTTAATTGTTGAGGAATCTCTACACTGTTTTTCATAATGGCTGCACCAATTTACATTCCTACCAACAGCGCACAGGAGTTCCCTTTTCTCCACATCCTCACCACCACTTATTATCTTTATTTATCTTTGTTATAATAGCCATTTTAGGGTGAGAGGTGATACGTTATTGTGATTTTGATTTGCGTTTCCATGATGATTGGTGACGTTGAGCATCTTTTCATGTACTTTTGAGCCATTTGTATGTCTTCTTTTGGGAAATGTTTATTCAGGTCCTTTGCCCAATTCTCAGTTGGGTCATTGAGTCTGTTGTTGTTCCTTTTTTTTTTTTTTTTTTGGTTTCATTTACTTATTCTTTGCTATTGAGTTGTATGAGTTCCTTATGTATCTTGAATATTCACCCCTTATCAGATATTTGGTTTGCAAATATTTTCTCTAATTCAGTAGGCTTCATTTTTACAGGTTGATTGTTTCTTTTGCTGTGTTAAAGACTTTGTAGTTTGATGCAATCCACTTGTCTATTTTTGCTTTTGTTGCCTGTACTTTTGGTGTTACAACCAAAAATCTGTTGCCAAGACCAATGTCAACAAGGTTATTCCCAATGTTTTTTCTAGTAGTTTTACATTTTCGTGTGTTATATTTAAGCCTTAATAAATTTTAAATTGGCTTTTGAATACGATGCATGATAATGTTTCACTTTTATTTTTTCACATTTAGATATTCAGTTTTTCCAACACCTCTTATTAAACAGGCTATCCTTTTCCATCGGGTGTCTTAGCACCTTTATCAAAGATCAGTTGACAGTAAACGTATGGATGCATTTCTGGGCTCTCTATTCTGCTCCTTTGGTCTACAAGTTTCTTTTGTGACTGCACTATATTGTTTTGATTACTATAGCTTTTTAATATATTTTGAAATCAGAATGTGTCATGTATCCAGCTTTATTTTTCTTGCTTAAGATTGCTTTTGAATTCTTGGTATTTTGTTCTTTTAAATGAATTTTAGAATTGTTTTTCTATGTCTGTTAAGAATGCCATTGGGATTTTGACAGGGATTGCATTAAAACCAGATCAATGGGTAGTTTGGACATTTTAACAATATTAACTATTTTTTTATGGTCACTAACTTTAATAACAATACATATATGATGTTATCATCATGAATGTAAATTCAGGTTAGACAAGAGATTTTCACAAGTGTAATAAAGCGTTCTATATTATATCAAAGTTAGCATATAATGTGTGATCAAATCAGCTTGCTCATAAATCATTAAGCAATTCCATTATGGGTAATTCGTTTAGTGTTTACAACTAAACATTAAACATTCTTATGGAGAATATAAACAATGCATACATTTAAAAAGTGTTCTTCATTTACCTTTGCATGAGCACTTAAAATACTTATTTCTATTTCAAGATGACATTTAAAAATTATTCTAACAGCAGCAAATATATAATTCTGCAATTACAAAATAACTCAAATAGAATCCATAATTAAATTATTCTTATGTTTGCAATTGTGATTCTTCAATAAATACTGCTACTGTGCAGCTCTCTTGTAAACTTTCTAGATTTGCTTCAAACACACACACACATATATATACTTGTAACTGCGGGAGGCTTTACAAGTTATATTCCATGCACTTTTTTGACAGAGTTCTAAAAGAGCCAGCCAGTCCACAACACAGGCTGAAAAAAAGGTAAATTAACTGAGGCAAATAGGACTCTTATATAACATCCAAAACAAGATTCTTCAGCAAACTGGGGTTCAGGGTTGGTTTGCTATCTTTTTTAGAATGAATTGCATCTTAACGGTTTAAGAAGATGGACACTTCAGCACCATCAATTGCATTTAGGTGATGTGTTTCTTTTGTGTTAACTTGATTCCCCTGAATGACCTAGCTAGTAAATTAGTCACTAGTAATTTGGTCACCAGGCAAGATGAGCCTGCAAGAAAGGAAGTCAGTATTCAAAACACCATGTTATAATCTGAACACACTCAAATAGTTTATTTTCAACATTAACATATAACTTCAGTAATAAGTTGTCTAACTACAGCAAGCTCCTCCAACAAGATCAAGACGGCATCTCTTCTTCTAAGGCTTATGTTTTTCCCAGAATTCCTGATACGTGGAATAGCTCATACTAACAGTCATTGCTCCTACAACAAAGCCTTGAGCTGCCACACACATGTGGATCAAATGAAGGTATATTTTAGTATTCCCCCTGCTTTTCAGCTTGTATAACCCATATGCAACAATTGCTATGAAATCAGCCATTCCAATGGGGACAAATGGTGCCTCATTAGCTTTTCTAACGTTTGGGTCCCTGATCTTCATCATATGAAGAAAGGAAAACATCTGTGTCTGCTGATATGGTAATTGCTTAAAGAATCTCCCTAAAGTGAGAAAACAACAATATTAACTCTTTTAATTCATGAACACTCCATGTCTTTCCTTTTATCTGTGTCTCCTTTAATTTCCTCCATTAGTGTTTTATAGTTTTCAGTGTAAGTGTCCTTCACCTCTTTGGATAAGTTTATTCCTAAGTATTTTTGTTGTTGTTAACATTGCAAATGTTTTTTGAATTTTGTTTCTGAAAGGTTTGTTGTCAGTGTTCATCAATTTCACTAGATTTTATGTGTTGATTTTGATCATGTAAGTTTACAGGATTTGACTATTATTTCTAACAGTTTTTTTGTTGCTGTTGAGTTCCTAGGATTCTCTACATATATGATCATGTCATCTCCAAAGAGAGAGAATTTTACTTCTCTTTTCCAATTTGAATGTCTTTTTTTTTTTCCTTATCTAACTCCCCTGGCTAGGACTTTCAGTACTATGTTGAATGGGGAGGCATCTTTGCCTTGTACCAGATCTTAGAGAATAAGTTTTCAGCCTTTCCTCTTTGATTATGACTTTAGCTGTAGGCTTTTCATACATAACCTTAATTATGTCGAGATAAATGCTTTCGATACATATTTTGTGAAAATTGTGTTAATGTTTCTTTTTTTTAAAGAGGCATAGGTCTGAGAGGAATTTGTATGGGTGTAAAAACACTTTTATTAAGAAGATTTTTTCAGAAACTAAAATGGAATTAGTTTCTTTAATATGCATACACTTTAATAAAATATATAAATTATATATTATTCATAATACATATTATTATATTAGTATTAAGGAATATCTATCTAAACATCTAATCCCCATTCTTCTATCCATCTATAAGTGTGAGGCAATATTATCTTGCACTTAACTTTAATAAGTTAAATGAGGCCACGCATGGTGGCTCATGCCTGTAATCCCAGCACTTTGGGAGATTGAGGCGGGCGATCACGAGGTCAGGAGTTCAAGACCAGGCTGGCCAAGATGGTGAAACCCCATCTCTACTATAAATACAAAAATTAACTGGGCTTGGTGGCAGGCACCTGTAATCCCAGCTACTCAGGAGGCTGAGGCAGGAGAATCGCTTGAACCCAGGAGGCAAGTTCACCCCCGGCACTCCAGCCTGGGTGACCGAGCGAAACTCTGTCTCAAAAAAACAAAACAAAACAAAACAAAAAAACAAAAAGAAATTAGACTCTCTAGAGTCAAAACCCACAAATAACTTCCCATATCACCCAGAGTGAAATCCAAAATGTGCCCCACATGATTTGCCTTCCTCCTACCTCACTGTCTTCACCTTCTTTTATTTTTAGTGCCTTTACTATTTTTGCTCTTCCACCGTGACCAATTTGCTGGTTCTTGAATTCAATCACAGAGATCTTGCCAATGGGCCTTTGCAGTTGTTATTTTTGTCTGGAATGCTTTTCTCCAGTATAACTGCAAGGCTCATCTTCTCACCTTCTTTAGGCTCTAAAATCTCATTCTCACTGAAGCCTTTTTTTATAATCTTATTTCAGATTGCAGTCTCCACCTCAGCATTCCCTATTCTCCTTTGTCTAAGCAGTGATCACCACCAGGGATGCTGTATATTTTATGTCTAATATTTTATAATGTTCACTTGTTATCTGTCTTCTTCCAGTAGAATGCACATTTTAGAAAGGCCACGATTTTGTCTGTTTTTTTTTTCACTACTCTGTCTCCTGATGTAAATTAGTTATTCAAACAATACTTCTTGAATTGATGAATAAGTGAATATAAACACAAGGCTGAGTGATAGGCAGGATTTAATTGTTAATTGTCTTAATAGTTCTGTCATATAGCATAACTAAGAAGAGCATATGAGTCATGAGCTTTATTTTTAATAATTTTTAATTATTTGGTCAATATTAGTCATATAAAATTGGGATAAATCAATGGATTACAGCTTTTAGATAGTATGCCAATTGATTTATGGAGTTAATTACACATAATGATGATAATTTAAGATTTTGTTGATCAGATTTCAATTTTTGTTTCTATTATATTTCCGTTTGCTTTTTAAATGTTATTAGATAAGAAATATGGGAGAGCTGGGTTGGTGGACAGGTAGTTAGCTATCACTAGAAAGCCACAAGCAATTGAAGTACAATAAATATCTGATCTTTCTCCCTTGGTTTAATGTGTGTGTGTGTGTGTGTGTGTGTGTGTGTGTGTGTGTGAACTTGAATGGATGAATAGCTTATGTTTCCTTTAAAAACACATTTAATCATTAAAACCGAGAAAAGCTTAATCATAACTAAAGAGAAAAACTTCACCCTAGGTTGTAAAAATAGTAAAAATACATGAAATTTCCAAAGGACTTAATGAGAACAGTTCTTTGGATTCAAATTAATAAAAAAATTAATTAAATAATTCTCAAAAGCAGGTATGCAATGGTATTGTAATATAATTTCTAACAGTTTAATTTTAAAACACTTTTCTGAAATTTAACTTTTTAATGTTTAAAATATCAGTAAGGAAGGTGACTGCTTCCTATCATAGATTTTAGTTCAATGACTGATGAAGGTCTTCCAGAGTTTGTGTCTAAATGAAAGGAGCCAGCCTATAACCTGGATATGTCATGATACAGAAAATTTTATTTATTTCAAATTTATAATATTTATAATGTATTTCATCTTTTTAAAAATTGATTCACCTGAATATGGTCATTTTTAAAGAAAATAAAAGTCCCTTTTTAGTATCTATTTTTCAGAATTTCAGAGCCATTCTAGCTATTACTTTAGTTAACAGACTTCTTTCCTAATGGCTTAGACATTTTCTGTACTAGGACTTAATAAGGGCATTGGATGTCCCCAGTGACCTGATAGAAACTTGACTAGAACTTGACTTAGGTTACTTCTAGCGTGCAGGAACTCTGACCCTTGAGTTTTCTTTCTGTCTCCCTAGATAGTTTTGGCTGATTTCTGGTATCACTCATGAGAGACCTGACAGCTCATCCTTCCATAACAAACTACGTTGAGTTCATCACCTGACAGTTGCCTCACTGTTATGTTTGATTTCCAAACTCAAATTACTTCTGGACTTCTGGTTTGTTGACCTTCTGCACTTATTCGCAATAAGCAACTTCTCGTCAGTACACTTCTACAACTCAAGCCCATATCATTGCTAGTCGTAGCTACCAACCTAAACTGAAAAGTCAGAACAAAAAACACAGAAAAGCAGAATGAACAAACTGTCACTTGAGGGATGACTGCCCAGCTGTCCATCAAATGACACTCTAGGATAAAGCCAGTGTGTATGTCTGAGATCACAAGGAGGGAAGTTGTGAAATGGACATCGTTTTTATTTCCAGGTGCACAGCGATATCAGGTATCTCAGATAACAGAATTTCCAACTTCAGATATCTCTTACCTATTGAATTCTTTTTTTCACATTTTTATCAAGCTTTATTTACACACTGTTGACAATATAGTTGTAATTTGGTTGTTAGACATATTGTTTTTTAAAAGTGAGGTGTGTACTGTAATCATCATATTCTGACCTTTGTTGACTTGATAAATATTTGCTATATGAGTCACTTTTGTGGTTCATTGACTAAATTAATCTGGATTTACATTACCTGAAATTTGTTACTTTCAAAAATCACATCTGTTCAAAGTTGCCAGATGAATCATCTTCATAGAAATAACTGATCAACTCATATAAACAGCCACATTTTCAAATATTCATAAGCCACAACAAATCTCATTGTTCATGTGAACTGTCAAGTATTTTATTTAGTCTGATTCACTCACTGCAATCATGTATCAAAATAGATTGTAAGTATTTTCAAGATTCATCCTTGAAAATATCATATTTTAAAATGATTAAGTTTCCTGAAGCTCTATGGAAAAATTTGAGTGTAATTCAGAGAATTTTAGGATATCCATATAAGTACATAGAGTACATTTGATAAATGACCATGTTCACAAGGGAAGATATACCTCCCATAAAGCTTTAATAACAGAAATCAAGTGTAGCATTTTTGTGTAGTTTTATTTAAAATATGGCATATGAATCATTTATATTATAAATATAGCTTGCAGAAAAAGCTATGGTATACTTAACACTAGTAATAAATGTGGTTGAGTTAGATTTTAATAGTCTCTGCACATGCAGTTAGACATGAAACATGCAAGTTTAAATTAATGAGTTCAGAAAAAATTTGTCTCATATATGCTTCTTTTCTTTAGATATTACTGTATTTCAGAAAGATGAGTATTTTATTTCACTCAGTAGTGAGGTTAATTCAGTAAACTGAATGAATAATAAATGAACTGCTTTCATTTAGAAGTCTGATTTTAAATGTTTAGAAAATTAGATAAATATTTTAATATTATATTTTATTTGTTCTTTCTGTGCCCAAATGAATACCTTTGCTGTGCATGTACCATAAAAAGCATTATAAGGCAGAATTCTCTGTCCATAAGGCAGACATTATTTAACTAGGATAGGAGCATAAACAATGGAGATGGAGGAGAAGCTGGATTAGTGGCTGGGAAATCTGGAAGTACTATTGGTAATGTCCTGGATGAAAATTGTGAAGATCTGTCTCATTCTGAGGAAATGGTCACTTTCTAAAACTTGGTAATTGTTTTAAATCTATATTGCAAAATATAGATTTGTAAGATGTAAGATGTTGTAAGATGGAACATTCCAACCTCCAGATAGAAAGTTATGTAGATAGGGCATCCTTGCCCATTATTACAGAAAATCATATATAGAATGTGTAACAATTGCTCATCATCAAACTAATTGTGAAAATACTAATTTTTAAAATTGATCTTTCAGAAAGAAGCAGTCATCTTAGATATCTTTCGTTAACAGGGCTTAAACATTTGTAATGATTTTGTGGCATTTTTTCTTAGTAATACATTAATGTTGCATTTGTTTTCAGAAAGTACAAAGCATTTATTTTTTATTAAAAAATTTAAATAGACAATTTTATTATCATGAAACTACAAACAAAAAGGCAACATTTTACTAAGATGACTGAATAATATATCACATTAGATATGAAAATGTTATGACATAAGTAAATTAAATAGGACACAATGAGCTGTAATTTATACTCACTTCAATTTAAAATTCTCATGGTTCCCAGAAAGCAAACTGAGTGATCCATAATTGCATCTTAAATTAGACTTTTTGCAGTGTTTAACCTCTCTAGCATTGCTTGTTTCATGAATATATAATTTTTATATTATCAAAAGTGTTTTCTTTCAGAAATGTTAGACTAGTTATTATTTCTCTGTTTTATAGAAGTGTTTAAAAACAATTTGTGAATGCACTTAGAAAAAGGCTAATAGATATTTTCTTCAAGTTGTATCCAAATGAGCAGAGCTTACTATAGAAGTAGATGCTTTAGCTACAGGGTAGGGAACCTGTGGTTTAAATCTAAAGGATTATAATGTGGCACATTTATTTGAAGGCGTCTTCTTTGATCCTCTAACACAGAAAGAAAATGTGAGAATTAAAGAGCAAAGAACAAGAGCTGAACTGTGAATTTAATGACTCCCCATGTTTGCATCCAAAAAGCTATGAAAAGCATTGATTGGAAATTAACTTGAGACCACATTTGCTTCTTAGAAAAATAAAAGTTTTAATGTTAAGTTGTAGACCATTGACATGTGAATAAATTATAAAGAGATAAAAGGATAGTGATTTGCTTCATTGCTATGATTATAATCAAGGTTTTGCTTTAAGAAGAGGGTATCAAGTTCTGCAGTGTTAGTGTTTTTATGAATTTTTTTTTGCTTTCTTACTTTCAATGAGTCTCATTATATTAAGTAGAACTTTTGCTATAGATGAAAAATGAAGCTAGTGTTGATACAGATGGAGGTAAAAATTACCTCCTCAAATATCCTCTTTCCAGCAGTCATGATATCCAGTTTTCTCACAATTCTGTAGATGGTTGAAAATTAAATTTTTATAAATACCAATTGTAAACTGCATAAGAACAAAAGGAACTAATGCAATGGTTTAAAATTATATATATATGATAAGACATTTTTGAAGTGTGTTCACATGGTTTAAAATTAAATTTAAAAAGGGGAAAAATAGGCAAAAGCAGTGGTATTTAAGGGGGAAAGAGATATAGAAATCAATGAGGAACAGCCAAACATGAGGTGTGGGAGGAGCTACATAAGTTGGATCTAACTTTCCAAATAAGTAATGTCTTCCTTTTCATGGTATTGAATGCAAATAAAGCATTGAATCAGGAGCTATCAGTATTTTCCACTTACATCTAGAAATTCGTATCTGTGAAGCTCTATTTTTCAAAAACCATTCAACCCTTGTGGATCAGAAAATGTTGGTTTGTGTCTTTAAACAATTGGATATACAGTTAGCTAAATTATGAATGCAAATGAAAAGTTCTTAGGGAAATTAAAAATGCTACTCCAGTGAACACAAGAATTGTAAGAAAATAAAATGGCCTTATTGCTGATACAGAGAAAAGTTTGAGTTGTCCGGATAGATCAAACCAGCCACAATATTTCCTTAAGCCAAAGCCTCATCCAGAGAAACACCTTATCTCTCTGCAATTCTATGAAAGCTGAAAGAGGTGAGCTGCAGAAGAAAAGTTTGAAGCTAGCAGAGGTTAGTTGATGAAGTTTAAGGAAGGAGCCATCTTCATAACATAAAAGTGCAAGGTGAAGCAACAGTGCTGATATAGAAGGTACAGCGAATTACTTAGATCTAGGTAAGATGATTGATGAAAGTGGCTACACTAAACGAAAAGTTTTCAAGGTAGACAAATAGCCTTGTATTGAAAGAAGATGCCATATAGGACTTTCACAAGTATATATACAAAAGGTAGCATGCTGTAGATACTATTTTACACATTTCTTTTTTCGATTTAACCGTATATCCTGAGAATCCCTCCATATCATTTCCTAGATATCATTGGCATCATTTTTCATCTTTGTTATTAATGTATAGTGGTAGGTATCCCAATCAAAAAATTTGGCTATATAATTCTGCAATTTTGTGAGGTTACCACTGGTTTGTATTAGTTGATCTTCTTTTTAAAATTTTTATTTTTAGCTTTTTGGGCAGGGGCCATGCTAATCTTCTCTGCATCCTTCCAATTTTAGTATATGTGCTACAGAGGCAAGTACCTTGATCTTTTTGAAACAAATCTTCTATTAATGCTGTGGAAACAAAAAGTATAGCTCAGTACACTTTGATTGTTATCAGAAACTCAATGTTATGTTCATATTTGAGAGCTGGACCTATCAATTTATGAGATGTGTGCTAAACTGGACTCATTATTAATGCCTTTCTAAGGCTTTCTCTTTAAACTTTTAATTTTTTTTTATCTGCTAGAGTTCTACTTAATCCATATTGTGTTTTCATCATAATCACTATGGTTCACACTCTAAAAAAATACAAGATCTTCTTTGACCAAGTTAATATTTTTGTTCTAACTTTAACATTATCTAGCATTTATTATTTAAGCATACCTTTGCTTTGCAATTATTGGACACATTTTTTTCTCCGTATTATTACCTTAAACTTTCAAAGCAGATTTGTTCTACATTTATTTTCTGTAAATAGCTTACACGTAGATATTAATTTTTGACCTGATGTAATGGTTTTCTCAGTGGAGTATTATCAAAATAATCTACTTGGTCTTAGTTCTGTTGTTCTATTCTTTTCATTTGTTATTGTTCCTTTTGCTGCAATTGTTTTTCTCTAAGTTTCCCACAAGCATACGTTATGTTTTTATATTACTGTATTTGTTGCAAATGTATAGAGTTTCATACTATTTTAAAAATATATTAACTTAAAATCAAGTTAAAAAATGTCCATATTTCTTAAATAACCCAGTTAAGGAAATAAAGTATATACTGACACATACCAAGGTAGATTAACAAAATTCAATTTTATTATTTTTGTGTACTGATTTTCTAAGAATTGTCTACATTATGTCAACATATCACAATTAAGGAACATTGTGCTAGTATTGCTATTACTATTACTGTTTTATAGCTTTTGTTTTAGTTATATATATATTTGAATTATTTCATAACTATTTTTATAATTGTCTACATGTGATTTTACATGAACTGATTTCATAATTTGTTGAAAAAATGTATTCTATGATATCATATTCTAAAGTTCTTATTGTGATCCAGCTCTTACATTGTAATGTAAATGTAAAACTTTTACATTGCATTAAATGTAAATGTCTTTACAATGTAAAACTGCCTTTTGCATTGGGCATATGCCTGCAGCCACTCCCGTAGACACATATTTAATATTTTGTTTGTTTGGTTTCTTCCCATATTAGTTAGTTTTCTTGCATAGAAATGCTTGGTTACCAACCCAATCCTTCAAGAATCGTAGTGATTTACCATTTTATCTTCCAAAGTTCAATATTATCAATAAAAATTTGGAGGCCTCCATGGTTTTTCATTCTGTGTAGAAGGAATTTTTATTTTTCTGCCTTTTTTTCTTTACTTCTCCTTGAAATTCAAAATGTTAACCACACTATACCTCTTCCTTATATTGCCTGATCCATACCAAACCTTTGAAAGTCACAGACTGTTTCAAGACAGTTTTGTCATATTTTAAATGTGGTTATTGCTTCTGTTACTGCTTCTGATTCACATGATGTAGGCCATTTCTCATAATGTCTACTTGAAGATGTATGACTTTACACATTATTTTTGATCTGTTTTGTTCTTTATCATTATACTATTATCAGAGCAAATTTAAATGTGTTGTCCCACATTTATCATCTGATACTTTACATAATTGATTCTGAACCTTAATATTTCTAATAAAATTCTAATATTTGTATTTCTTTAAACTTTTCATGGATATCAATAAACTCTTTTTATACTACTCTCTTACTTTTAGAATCCAAATCTACACAAAATTTTAAAGTATACATAGATGCTTACTAAAATTTATATACCACATTCCTTTGATCTTTGTTTCAAAAGTGCACTGTACTTCATACCTTGAGTTCTATATTCTTCTTTGTTTATTATGTTGCTAAATGTTCATATCCCTTTTTTTCTCCTTTCATGTATGTATTTGTTTAATGACCAGTGACAGGTTTAGTATTGGCATTTGCCATAATCTCGGCAGATCCTTCTTCTTTAGTCCTTCTTTCCCAATATGAAATAGGCTATTAAGATCCTCTGCTCACACATTACACAGAAGAGTTGATTGAAGAAAATACATGTTATTATTTCAGAGGTTTGGGAACCTAACTGTTAATAGGAGTTTCTAAGATCTAATGGAAACCCCAGCATGAAAAATACTTTCAATGGTTATTTGTCTGTGCCTGAATAATCCTTGACTCATTCTCTATTTTTCTGTATTGGGATTTCTGTTTCTTTTGTTACATATCAGATGTGTCGGTGACTGGGTTCAAGGTCTTTCTAGATATCTTCAACACAGTTAATAAAAATATTGAAAGAGTCACTTTTTTATTGAGTCTGGAATTGGTACATGTAGTCTAAAAATTGTAGCCTGATCTGTCCCTTCTGAACTCAGATATCAGATTGGGATTGAAGTCTTGCAGATAATTAAAAGGCACTGTGCCTTTCTAAAGTACCTAACAGTTCTAAGAACACAACAATCAGTCAATAATTGGGGTAAATTGAATAATTTATTGTGCTACAAGCACAATAAATTTGCAAATAAAGCAGTAAGCAATCTCTGTAATTTGCCTTCTGTTTAATTTCAGCTTCTATAGACATAACATTTCTTCCAACTCTTTATCTAGTTTCTAAGAATATTTGTTTACCCACAGTTTAAGCTCATGTTCACTTACTCCATTTTCATTAAAAATGGAGAAAATTTTATTACATTCTTATTATAGAATATATGTCTAATAGATCATCTTGATTTGGCATTTTCATGAAAAATGAGTTGGTAAGTTTTCTATTGTTGTTTTCATGTAAAGGGATATTGGCTGGTATTAAGTAGAGGAAATGCTTTTACTGAAACAAACATTCATGCAGTAAGTTTGCAAACCTTGCTGTAAAATTTAATGCATATTTTAAAACACATGTGTACACCCATGTAGTGACCACACTGGTCAAGACACAGAATGATATGGAACATCTACGAAACTTCTTTCATGCCAACTCCATTCCAGAGTTAACTATAATTCAGTTTTCTAACATAAGATAAGTAAAATTTGCCTACTTTTGAATGTTACATAAAATAAATCATAAAGTTTCTTGTGTGTCTAGCTTATTTTGCCAATTTATCAATAAAACTTTTTTTAATTGTTAAGTGATTCAAATAATGGTTTGTCTCCATTATCAAGCTGATTTTCATTATATGAATATAATAGGAATTATTTATACATTCAGCTATGATGGACTATTTTTTTCTAGTTTAGATATATAATGAATTAAGCATCAACACTCTGGTCAATGTCCTTTGATGAACACATGTAAGCATTTCTATTTAAGACTAAAAGGTCTGGGTCATAGAAAATGCATAGTCCAAATTTAGAAGATACTGCAAAACGTTTTTCTAATATTTTTTTTCTAACTTCCCCTTCCACCAATAGGACTTGAAAAGTTCAAGTTGCTCCATATGTTTTCAATGCTTGATTATTATAGTACTTTAAAAAAGAAAAAAAGTAATAGTAGATATGCCGCTGCTATATGTCTCATTGTTTTTGGATTTGCACTTTGATGACTGGTAACTTTGAACATCTTTTGGTAAGCTTAGGACCCATTGGGAAGACACTTATATGAACACCTGTTCAAGCCCTTTGCCCATTTTTTATTGGGTTCTTTGTCTTCTTTTACTTATTATTTTGAAAAAGTTTTTAAATACTTTCTTAGAAAAATTAAATATCAAATATTATATTGTCTATATTTCTTTAATCTTGTGGCTTGACTCTTCACAGTCTTAATGTGCCCTTTGATGACTAGACCTACTCACTTTAAAATGGTCTAATTTACTAGTCATTTTTTTTGTATAGTGCTTTTTTTTTCCTGTTCAAGAAAAAAGAGTGCCACTGGCAAGTTCCTTATAATATCCCACTATGTTATCTTCTAAAAGCTTTATTGATCTAATTTCATATTTAGATATAAGTCCAAGGCCGGGCACAGTGGCTCACACCTGTAACCCCAGCACTTTGGGAGGCCATGGTGGGCAGATAACCTGAGGCTGGGAGTTCGAGACCAGCCTGACCAACACGGAGAAACCCTGTCTCTACTAAAAAACAAACTTAGCCGGGCTTGGTGGCGCGTGACTGTAATCCCAGCTACTCAGGAGACTGAGGCAGGAGAATCGCTTAAACCTGGGAGGGAGAGGTTGCAGTGAGCCGAGATTATGCCATGGCACTCCAATCTGGGCAACAAGAGTGAAACTCTGTCTCAAAAAAAAAAAAAAAGATGTAAGTCTATCTGGAAACAATTTTCTGTGTACCATGTTAATTAGGGAAATATTATTTGTTGTTGTTGCTGTTGTTTTTGATCTTTTGTTTGTTTACCATAAGTATACCCAATTGATTCTATATCCTTATATATACTTGTAATATTAAATCCATTGGAAATAAAAAGAAAGCTAAGCTTACGTCTTAGCAGAATAAGATTTTTAAATATGAAAAATAATTGGCCAGGCGTGGTGGCTCACACCTGTAATCCCAGCACTTTGGGAGGCCGATGCAGGCGGATCACCTGAGATCAGGAGTTCAAGACCAGCCTGGCCAACATGGTGAAACCCCGTCTCTACTAAAAATACAGAAATTAGCCGGGTGTGGTGGTGCCGCGCCTGCAATCCTAGCTACTCGGGAGGCTGAGGCAGGAGAATCTCTTGAGCCCGGGAGGTGGAGGATGCAGCGAGCCTAGATCAATCGCACCACTGCACTCCAGCCTGGGCAACAGATTGAGACTTAGTCTCAGAAAGAAAAAAAAAAGAAAAGAAAAATAATTTAAATAGTAACAATATTCAGCAGCAAGTCTGATAGCTAATTTGATTTTTCAAATACCATACGTTGACATGGCATTTCAAGATTTCTTCAATAACTGAAAAATCTATGATTTTTATTGGTGACAGTTTCCAGGTACTGCTAATACTAATGCTATTTTCTACCTATATTCATATATGAAAGGAATAATAAACCTTGCTTAGAGATTAGCAGAGGTTAAGTTGTAATTTTTTCCCACTCAAGTCCATGAGTCCCTTTAATTTGATATCCTAGAATTCAATTTAAAAATCACAGATTTATTGAAAATAACACTTCTGCTTCAAGCCATGGCAGTGTCATTGCTGTAGTTACTTTGTTATACAATTGGTGACCACATATATATTAGGTTGTTTTTTCCATTTTGTTACATACCTGTATCTATGTATTCTTTCACTAATAAGACAGTGCTTGAATTACTGCATCTTAACCAAAGGCCTTGAAATTTTACAGTGTAAATATTAAGCTTTATTTTTCTTCAAAAGTATTTTTGCTAACTTAGCCATTTTGACTTTTATATAAATTTAAAACAATTTTGAAAAAAACTGCCACTGTTTTCATTAGCTTTTGTTCAATACATCATTTCAGGAAGTCTTGACAATATAGGGTTTTCAATCTTAAGTGTAAAATTTTCATCTTACTTATAATTTTGAATTCACTCAATCATGTTTTATAGTTTTCCATATAAAGACAATGTTAGATGAATGTAAATTTTTAAGCTTCTAATGATATGATCGATGGCTTATCTGATTTTTCTAAAATATGAAAATACAATTAATTTTTTGTATATTAACTTTTAATCAAACAACTAATACAATTATTTTAAATTTTTATAGATTGTCTTCATTTTCCTTTGGGGATTTTAACTGAATGTGGATAGTTTAATTTATTCCATTTCAATATTTATATGTGTCTTTTATTTGCTATCCTAACTGCATTGTTGACTAGAATTGGTGGTAGCGGACATGTTTATGTAATTGATCTCAGAGGAAAGATTTGCAGTTTTTAATCACTGATGCTATTTTTGCTTTATTAGCTATTGGTTATACTTCATCAGATTTAAAAAGTTCAATTTTATTTTCAGTTTTCTGAGATATTTAATCATGAGTAAACAAATTTTTGATTTATCATGATTTTTGTCAAAGGTCTTTGCATCTATTGATAGATTTCCCTTTATTTTGTAGGTATACTAAAATTTATTGATTTTTTAAATATTAAATTAAAAATGAATTCTTGATATAAACACCTTAATCATGATATATAATCTTTCTATGTTCTACTTTATTTAATTTGCTAAAATTTCTATAGACATTTATGCATCTGATTTCAAGTAAAATACTAAGATATAATTTTTCTTTTCTTATAACGTTTTTGTTGTTTTAGTTATTATGCTTAATTCATAAAGAAAATTAAGGGATGCTTTATTTTTAAATTTGTCTTCCTTAGAGAGTTTAAGATGGGTGTTAATTCTTTCTTAAAGTGTTGGTAAATATAACTGGTTAAACTATCTGTGTTTGAAGTTTTCTTTCTGGAAAATATATAGAAGTACCCGTTGTTTATTTCTTTATTTTTTAAGTTTTACCTCTGTGAATTTTAGTAGGTTAGCCTCACTCTGCAGCTCAGGATCTTTCTGAACAACTCCTGGTGTTCGTGGAACTCCAAAATGCCAATCTCTGTCTTCTAGTTAGAACAAATGTTTCGTGTTCCTAGAGTACCATGTTCCTCTTAAAGTGAGTTAAAAGGGCAATTTCCCTATTTGATGTGTGAATAAGAAAAAAAAGAAAGGAATTTACCCAACGAAAGAATCCAAGAGACTAATCTGAAAATCTCACCATACTGGATTTCTGTTTTCTCTGTTCTTTTGACCACTAAAGTTCAGGTTGCCTGGATTATATAATGAAGAATTCAAGCAGTTGTTTTATGTTCTTTATCCAGCTTTCATAGTTGCTTTCAGTAGGAGGTTAGCAAAGTAAAAGTTACCCAAACAGGGCTGGAATTTGAAGTCCTAAAATTGGTTTTCATGCATTGTCATTCTGATGAAGGCTTCTATTCCCATTATCTCATTTTCTATTCTTATAACTCATTAATATTTATGGCTATCAACATGAAAGATTTTCTTTGCAAAAGCAATTAAATGCAGTGCTTATTTTTAAAGCCCTTATCCAAGATCTTTTTTCAGAGCCCAAGGAAGTAGAAACAATAAATTAAACTTAGTCTGCTCTTACTTTATCCTCTTGCCAACATCAACAAATGGCTTCAGAAGTAGCTCCATCAATATATATACACACCCCATTAAAATTGTTTCTTTCTCTCCCATATTTTTCAACATGTCTGAAAACTCTATGTACCATGAATCTTTATGTACAAGTAAAACAGCACTATTTATTGAGTTTAGTGCACAAAAGAAAAAAAGGAGAAAGGATTGGCAGCAAATTGATATCTCCCTGAAGCCGTATCACTGCTCAGCGGATTGTGCTCCTAGGACCTGTGAATCACATCTCAAGATGTGTATCTGGTGACATGTGAGATTTTAATGAATCTTTTCAATCATGGCTTGTCAATATTGGGCCCAGTTTTTTCCTATTAGTTGCTTTTTTTAATGAAAGCTAATTTTAGAGTCAATTTGGGCTGAAAGCATCATTAAAACATGCAAGATGCAAAGTGCAACAAACTTCCCTCTCCACTCCGCATTCATATCCTTATAACATGCAGAGGCCATTACTCCCCTAACTCCTAGTTATTAGAAGGTTATACACTCATGAGTGGGCAATTGTATCTAATGCTGGCCTTTTCTCTAATGCACTGAATGTTGATATAACGAATGGAAACATTTCTTCGTAGAGAGTTTGTGACCAAGTGCTAAGTTATGTATAGTTTATAAAATATTTGAAAACAGATGGTATATGCACTTACCCTTGAAATCCAAGTTTAAAAAGTCATCATACCACATTTCTGAGGATTTTCCTCCCACCATCTCAGGGAGAGACTACATTAAATTTGAATTTTCAATATGTCATAGTGAAACACATTTACTGTAGTCAGTTGTTAATATGTAGTTTTCTCTATCATGTATATTCCTATCCTGAAAAATGATAATGTCTTCTTTTTGGAGACAGTGTCTTGCTTTGTAGCCCAGGCTGGAGTGTAGTGGTGTGATCATGGCTCATTGCAACCTTGAACACTTGGGCTCAAGCAATCCTCCTGCCTCAGCCTCTCAATAACTGAAACTACACTTGCACAACACCATACCTGGCTATTTTTTTTCTTTATCTTTTAGAGGGAGAGTCTCACAATTTTTACCAGGCTGGCCTTGAACTCCTGGCCTTGAGTAATCCTCCTGCCTCAGCCTCCCAAAGTGATGAGATTATAGGCAGGAGCCACTGCCCCAGAAAGAAAAAAAAAAATGACAGTTTCTATTCCTCTTTCTGTTCATCTAATGTCAAACAAAGAAGAGCTTCACAATCAAAATGGTAGTTATATCATTTGGATATCTGTCTCCTCCAAATCTCATGTTGAAATGTAATTGCCTATGTTGGAGGTGGGGCCTGGTGGGAGCTGTTGGGACATGGCGGCAAATCACTCATGAATGGCTTGGTGCTGTCCTCAAGATAGTGAGTGAGTTCTCACAAGATCTGGTTGTTTAGAAGAATGTGGCACCTCCCCTGACTCTTTCTTGCCCCTCCTTTGACCATGTGAGATTCTGGCTGCCTGCCACCTTCAACCATGATTGTAAGCTTCCTGAGGCCTCACCAGAAGCAGATGCCAACATCTTGCTTCTTTTAAAGCCTGCAAAATCATGAGCCCATTTAACCTCTTTTATTTGTAAATTACCTAGCCTTGGGTGTTTCTTTATAGCAATGCAAGAGCATACAAACACAAGTAGAAATCAGTTAATGAAAGTTCTAGGTATAAGGTTATTAATTTATTCATGAAATGTCTATTTTGCTTTCTTCAAAGGCATATTTGCTAAAAATAATTGATCATCTGAATAAAAAACTGTATAAACACAACTTTAGGCTAAAAATATAACATGACAATTCTCAATTGTGTCTGAAATTTTTAACATAGAATTTAGACTGTCGACAGTAATCTTATTGACCTTGGAATGTAAGCTTAGATACACTTGAAAATGTTACTGGAGAGGTGAACTCAGGGAAATAGAATCAGCCTAGCCAGAAAATGCAATTCAAATCACAAACTTAAATAGAAGAAAAAAAAAAAAAAGACAACATTTCAAAGAAACCTGAAATTACTTTGTTAGAAATGCAGAAGAGGATAATTGCCAGGAGATGATCACTGACTGCTTAAAAGTATTCTAGAGAAAATATATTTAAAACCCAAATGTGTTTGTTCTGCAACAGGCAAAATTGAGCAGAACTGAACAAGCAAGTAGACTCTCATTTGCTGAACCAAACGTTTTAATGGAAAAGCATTATTTTCAGATATCCAATTTTACTTACTCATTAGTAAGTATTAAGAAGCTCATTAATACTCTAATAAAAAATAATTTTCTCTTTGAAGTAGTGTAGAAAGAATGGTACACTCAATGTAAATGCATATATAAATAAAATCAATATGTTTCTTCAGAGTTATTTCCAAATATTGATGAAGGATTCACACATGTTATGAACATTTAACAAAACCCATGTTATAAGTCTTGGACATTTAAGTGTTCTTATATAAAAGACAAGATTTGTATTAAAGAGCACTCTGCCATTTCTCCTTTCTACAGACTTTTATTTGCTAATTATTTTGTCCAAGTAATAAAATGATTTGGA
Source organism: Homo sapiens (assembly GCF_000001405.40). Taxonomy (NCBI): domain Eukaryota; kingdom Metazoa; phylum Chordata; class Mammalia; order Primates; family Hominidae; genus Homo; species Homo sapiens. Next base: position 81,256,139 of record NC_000013.11, on the reverse strand, counting down.
GTCCACAAAGCTTCATTACAATTTTAAATAAAATATTTGTTTCCATTAGCAATACCATTTATATATTTTGCTTGAGTATTTCATTTGAAATTTAACAAGGCATTTACTAATTACCTGCTATGTGCCAGGCATTGTTCTAAAAACTATGAATACCAAGTCAAACAAAAAAGGATTCTTGACTTCAAATAACTTACATTTAATTGGGAAGGATAGGCATTATTTAATATAATAACTATTTTAATCCTTTATCTTTCTTCCTATGTTTAGAATACATTGAGCATAATTAGAATTTGACATGAGGAAGAAAAACTAGCAGGTGAAATAATAAAACACTGCACTTGATTATTACATGGCTAAATCATCTTTTGATTTTTAAAGTATGGTTCAAATATTAATATAATTCAATGTAAAAACAAATATTTTAATAAAAGAATCTACTCATAAAACCAGAGACATCCATAATCTCTGTAAAATTCTGCTATTTGGATAGATATATTTATATTCCAGGCTTAGTTTGCTTATTAACTACAATATTATGTGTTTCTGAATTTTGGTGAAACTTACCTTGAAGGTTTGCCAAAAATGTCTATGTGAGCAGTGAGGTCATTAGAATGGTTAGTAAATAACTCATTTTTCTCATCAGAGGATTATAAATTTGATAAAGCAATTTGTAATTATAGTTTTAATCTAAATAGCTCAATCATGTTCTGCATAAAAGACATCCCTTTGCAAATATTATAAAATGAAAGTAGGGCTATTATAATGATTCTTAGGAAAGTGGATAAATGCTGACTAAATTACAGACTAAGTTTTGGAAATTGGTTCCATTCTGTTGTTTATATTTAGGTAATTATATTGAATACACATCCTGGTCTACACTGTAAAAAGTATTTTTTTTTTCATTGATCATTTTTATTTACACAGAAGTCTCATATTGTCTTTTATGAAATGCTGCTTTATAAAAATTATGTCTACCTGAAACTCCTAGAAATGACTATAGTTCTCTAATTAAATGTATTCCTTTCTGTCTTCTTGTTGAACTTCCTGAAATACCTGAATACATAAACTGATTCTAATCTTTAAAGGATGTTTTCTATCCCTCAGAGCACAATTACATAATAAGTTGTTAGGAAGATGGAACATGTAAAAGATTCTGGTAGATATTTCTAAAACAGAAAAATAAGTTATTTAAATTACGAAATGCTTCTCAAAATTAAATATTCTAAAAAGCATAGACGTTTCTCCCCTCAAAATACTTGGAATGTGTCTGCTTATCTAAGCAAGTATTAAAAACAATCTTATTACCAAACTGTTTCTTTAGCAAACATCATCTAACAATAGTTATCATTTAGCCAATCTTTCCATCTACTAATAGCATTGAATGTATAACTTCTTGTGCCAGAAACACTTTTGACATTTCAGCAAACACACGTTAACAAAACCTAGTGTTCTGCGTTTATGTAGCCCCCAACACATTAAAATGCTGTTAAAAATTTACAACCATGAAATAATGCTATAACAATGATTTGTAAAGAAAATGAAAGCAAATAGAGACGTGTAATTTTCTTTGTCTAGAAACAAAATAAATGAAATATGTGAAGATGAGTAGGAAAGCATCGGTTAGAGAATGGAAGTGAGGATGGCACTACAGACAAAGTAATGTGTGTGTTCAACAGCAGCGACATTAAAAAAAATCATAGGCATATCCACGAACCGGGAAGGATTTTCTGGGTCTGGGTTTCATATCCATGCTAGTTGTAATGCAAAGTGTGTACTAATAATTTATCATGAATTGGAAAATTCTGCAGTAAATGGAATGCATATTGTATTTTAGTAATGCTAAGTTTCTACCTCTAAAGAAAGTTTGAGGTGCTTTGTCAGTAATATGGTCAAATATTTTCTAAAATCAACAATCAATTTATATTTAAGGCTATCTCCTTCATATCTGATACACAATTGCCCCTTCCCTTACTTAATGTAATTTATTAATAGCTTGTAGCATGTGTAGGATTATTTTAATTACTGTGTAAAAGATATTGAATCTTCCACAAGTTTTACTCATTAAAGTTACAACATAAAGAGGAAAGAAAGAGGTACAGTTGGACACTGGGATAGTACCACAACAGGAGGTCCAATACATAACACAAATGAGCTTTGAGTATTTGCAACTATCATTAGCAATTATAGAAACCTGCTATGGACTGAATGTTGAACTGGAGGCCGTTATCTTCAGTGAAACAACTCAAAGACAGAAAGTCAAACACTGCATGTTCTCACTTACAGGTGGGAGCTAACATGGACATAGAGTGTGGGAAGGTGGGCGGGGGGATGTGAGGGATGAGAAATTGCTTCATGGGTACAATATACATTATTTGGTTGGTGGTAACAATAGAAGCCCAGACATCACCAACACACCATATGTTCATGTAACAAAAACTGGGCTGGGCGCGGTGGCTCATGCCTGTAATCCCAGCACTTTGGGAGGCCAAGGTGGGTGGATCAGCTGAGGTCAGGAGTTCAAGACCAGCCTGATCAACATGGTGAAACCCCATCTCTACTAAAAATACAAAATTAGCTGGGCATAGTGGTGCATGCCTGTAATCCCAGCTACTTGGAAGACTGAGGCAGGAGAATTGCTTGAACCAGGGAGGCAGAGGTTGCAGTGAGCCAAGGTTGCGTCATTACACTCCAGCCTGGGCAACAAGAGCAAAACACCATCTCAAAAAAAAAGCAAAAAACAAAAAACAAACAAAAAAACTGCACTTGTACCCCTTAAATTTATAAAAATAAAAAGCACTCAAATGTTGAAGCTTAACCCCCCAGTGTGACGGTGGTCAGAGGTGTGACCTTTGGGAGGTAACTACATTTAGATGAGATCATGAGAGTGAGGTCCCAGAATGGGATTCAAGACCCCAGATCTTTCTCTCCCTACCACCTTCTAATGTGGTAATACAGAAAATCAGATGTAGTCCCACTGCAAACCAGGAAGAGGCCTTCATGAGAAACTGAACTTAATTCCCCAGCTCCAAGTATTATGAGAAGCAAATTGTTGTTTAAGCCACCCAATCTATGACATTTGTTACAGCAGCCTAAACTGACTAAAACACTGAAGAATGAAATATTAATTTAAAGATACTTACAACCATTTTATGCATGCAAAATACTAATACTACTTTGTGCAGCTGCAAAATACTATCTTTTATTTTTTTAATTTCACCTTATATGGACTATTTCTATGCTGTAGGACCTATGAGCCACTCATGAATAAGATCAATAAATGAAATTTAATTTAATCCTCTGCTCATCTAGATAGTCATTAAACTCAGCAACAATATACATGATAGCACTACAATTTACGTAAAGAATAAATAGTTCCCAGGGTTCACCAGATAATCAATACATTGTTTTGTTCTATCCATTTGAATAAAAGGAAGTTTAATCTTTTCCAAAAATTTCCATCCTCAAAGACAGCTGATAAACGTTTTTTATTTATTCAAGTTTTTATTTAATTAAAGATACACCATTGTGTGCGAAGGGTTTGTTTCCTCTTTTTTGTTTTTCATGTATAATCATAGTCACCTCCCTGAGCTATGCAGTGCTATCTCTACTACATTATCAGCTCCATAAGGCCAAGATCATCACTGTTTTGTCTACTGCTGTCCAGACAGAACCTACTATTCATTTTTAGTATTTTAGTTTCTTTAGAGAAGATATTCCCCTTGCAAAATTCTATAATAACACATCCTTATTCTTTTTATCGTAGTTCTTTTCTTTCCAGACAATATTTTTCTATCTTTATGCCAATAACTTAATATTTTCTTGATTGTTTTAACTTTCTATTAGGTCTTGAAATCAGGTAGTGTTACTCCTTAAACTTTATTCTGCCTTTACAAGTTATTTAGGTATTTTAATTCCTTTTAATTTTCACATGAATTTTAGATTCAGTTTGTCAATTTCCACACCAAAAAAAAAATGTCTACTGAGCTTTTGATTGGGATTGTATTAAATCTACAGATATATTTGGGGACAATTGATATCTTAACAATAATGAGTTTTTTCATTAATCTTTAATATGGTTTACCTCTCCATTCATTAATGTTTCTTTATGTACCTTAAATTGTTCTGTATTTTTCAATATTCAGGTTTTTAATATTATTTATTGTATTTATCCTGAAGTGTTTCATGTTTTATACTTTTGTAAATGCTACTTTTTTCCCAAGTAGCATTAATAGTGCATAGAAATACCACTGATTTTTATGTATTGATTTTTTTTATCTCTCATCCTTGCTAAACTCATTTCTAGCAGCTTTTTTTTTCCTGTAAACTCTGTTGAATTTTATACGGAGATAATCATGTTGTCTGCAAATAAGGACAATTTATCTCACATACTATAATTTTGCTCCCTGTAAGTATGATTTGAGTTTTTTAAAAAAATATCTTGTGTCAGTGCTTGACTTTTTAAACCTGTGGAGTATAATTACAATAACCTTTAATATCCTGTCTTATTCTAACATCTATGTCAGTCCTGAGTTAGTTTACAATGAATGGTTTTTCTTCTTATGGGTGATAATTTCCTGCTTCTCTGCATGCCTGATAATTTTGTATAGGATGCCAGACATTGTGAATCTACCTTTTTAGATCCTCAGTACTTCTGTATTCCTGTACATTTTCTTCAGCTTTTTTATGAGATAGTTATGTGAAACAATTTGACCTTGTTGGTTATTTCTTTTAAGATTTGTTAGGTGGTAGCGCTCAGTCTAGGGCCAATTATTCTCACTGCTGAAGTCAAGTTCTTCTGATACACTACCCAGTGCCCCATGAATCTTGAGGATTTCCTGTTTGGATGATAAGACCAGGCTCTACTGGCCCTATGTGAGCATGAACCATGTTGACTTTAATCCTTCAGGTGGTTCTTTCCCTGGTCTCAGTTTCTTCAAATGCATGCACTGTTCTCTACTCAGCTAAATAATTAAGAGAAACCCTCTTATATCTCCAAAGTTTTTTATCTGCACAGTTTTCTCCTCTTCAATATTTTGTTTTGTGAATTCTAGCTGCCTTGGCTTCCTCAGACTCTGAGCTCCATCTCTCCTCTTCTGTGATGTGGACTACCTAAATTTACCATCATTGAGCCATGGCCAGAAAACACCCCAACACAGTAGTAGGCGTTGGCAGATTGAAGGACCCCCTCATTGGTTTCCCTTCTCTCAAAAATCATTGTCTTTCATTGCCTCATACCCTGTGTTTCAAAAACTGTTGCTTATATTTTGTCCCTTTTTTGTTTTTTTAAATAAGAGAGTGAACCAGGTTCCTTTTAGTTCATCTAGCTGAAAAGAATATTAACCTTTGTTTCTATTTTAACTATTTTAAAATTGCATGTCTTACAATTGATATTTAAAAGTACAGTGTTTCTTTTTCATTGTATAATGAAACTGTTTTATTTGATGTAACATTCTTCCTAATCAATTTCATGTTAAAATTGAAGAAAAAATAAATCACACCAGAGCCAGGCTTTATATGTGTATTAGTCAGAGTTTTCCAGAGAAATAAAACCATAAATTGAGATCTATAGTCTATAGGTCATCTATTTAAGGGATACAATATATATTTATAAATATATGCATATATGAAAAGATTTATTACGAAAATTGGCTCACATGATTATGGAGGCTGAGAAGTCTCATTATCTGCCACCTGCAAGCTGGAAAATCAAGAAAGCTGGTGGGGTAATTCAGTCTGAGTTAAAATGCATGAGAATCAGAGGAGCCAATGATGTAACACCCAGTTCAAGGCTGAAGATTCTAGAACCAGCAGGGGTTGGGGGTGGGGATGGGAGGCCGCTAGTATAAACCCTGAGTCCAAAGGCCCAAGAACCAGGAGCTCTTATGTCCAAGGGCAGGAGAAGATGGATCTTCCAGCTCAAGAAGCAAAAGAAAGAATGAGCCCTACCTCTGCCATTTGTGCTATTTAATCTTGGATGATGTCCACCCACCTTGGTGAGGGCAGGTCTTTCAGATACAGTCTAATAACTCAAATGCTAATTTCCTCCAGAAATTCCCTCACAAACAAACCCAGAAATAATGTTTTACAGGCTACCTGGACATCCCTTAGCACAGTCAAGTTGGCACATAAAATTAACCACCAAGATATTCTAGAAGTCTGATTTGCTTATTTAAAAGAAAAATAAATACATACATATCCTGAGGGGGCCTGACTGGTCGTTCTGTAAGTTTAGCTGCCTGGCACGTATGCTTAAACAGATGGACACATTTCATGTGGATGTTGGCCTCCAATACCCTTGGAAACAACCAAAAGTACTTGTAAGAAAATGGAAATTTAAATCTACTTAATCGTTGTTAAATGTACTACAATAATTGCCAGGATTGTTTCCCACAAATCATGAAGGAGACAGTTTCGGCCTAAACAAATGTAAAAATTATTGAACTTCCTTCCATAATTTAGCAGTGATTTGTTGAACCCGCACAACTTTCCCCAGTAAAGAATCTTCTTTCATTCTTCTTTTATGTCAGTAATAGGTTTTCTACATTTATGTCAAGTTATCCAAAGGAGAAAACTTACCTATGATGTTAGAAGTTAGGAGAGTGGTATCTTGGGCGGAGTGAGAATGCAGTGATTAGAAGGAATAGAGGGACATTCTGAGATGCTTCTTATACTCCAACTCTCACTCTTGATAGTGGTAACATTGATGTGTTATATATGTGCTAATTTTTGAGCCCACTTATGGCTTGCACATAATAGAATGCGTTAATTTATTGAGGCCGCTTATTGCTCATGTTCTTTACTATAACTGGTGTTAAGTTCAGCTACAGTCATGGGCAGCATAAGGACGTGTTGATCAATGAATGACCCTTTATCTAACAGGGGTCCCATAAGATTATAATGGAGATGAAATATTCCTGTCGCCTAGTGACTTCATTGCTATAGTCATGTCACAGCACGATGCATTACTCACGTGTTTGCGATGACGCTGGTGAAAACAAAACTATGAGCTGTCAGTTGTATAAAAGTATCACACATTTACAATTATGTATAGTAAATAATAATAATAGGCTGGGTGCAGTGGCTCACGCCTGTAATCCCAGCACTTTGGGAGGCCGAGGCGGGTGGATCACGAGGTCAGGAGATCGAGACCATCCTGGCTAACACGGTGAAACCCCGTTTCTACTAAAAATACAAAAAAATTAGCCGGGCGTCGTGGTGGGCGCCTGTAGTCCCATCTACTCGGGAGGCTGAGGCAGGAGAATGGCATGAACCCGGGAGGCGGAGCTTGCAGTGATCCGAGATCGCGCCACTGCACTCTGGCCTGGGAGACAGAGGGAGACTCTGTCTCAAAAATAATAATAATAATAATAAATGACTGTTATTGATGTATGTATTTACTATACTATATATTTTATCATTATTTTAGAATGTTCATCTTCTACTTATTTAAATAAAAAGTTAACTGTAAAAAAGTCTCAGGTAGGTCCTTCAGGAGGAATTCCAGAAGAAGACGTTGTTATCTCAGGAGATGACAGCTCCATGGGTGTTATTACCCTTGAAGACTTTTCAGTGGGACAAGATGTGGAGATGGAAGACAATGATATTGATGATCCTGGCTCGGTGTAGGCCTAGGCAAACATGTGTGTTTGTGTTTCAGTTTTTACTAAGAAAATTTAAGAGGGGAAAAAATTAAAAATAGAAAAAATCTTACAGAATAAAGGTACAAAGAAAGTAAATATTTTGGTAGAGCTGTACAATGTATGTTTTAAACTATTACAAAAGAGTCAAAAAGATTTAAAAAATTAAAAATTACAAGGTAAAAAGGTTACAGTAAGCTAAGGTGAATTCATTACTGAAAACATGAATTTTTTAAAATAAATTTAGGGAAGTGTAAGTATGCAGTGTTTATTAAGTCTACAGCAGTATAATGTTCTAAGCCTTCACATTCACCCACCACTCACTCACCGACTCACCTAGAGCAACTTCCAGTTTTTGCAAGCTCCATTTGTAATAAGTACTCTCTACAGCTATACCATGTTTTATCTCCTATACTGTATTTTTACTGTACCTTTTCTATGTTTAGGTATGTTTTGAGTATACAAATACTTACCATTGCACTACAACTGCCCACAGTCTTCAGCACAATAGGTTTATAGCCTAGAGCAATAGGCTATACCATATAGCCCAGGTGTGCAGTAGGTTATACCCTCTAGGTTTCTGTAAGTACACTCCATGATGTTGCATAATGATGAAATCACCTAATGACACATTTCTCAGAACACGTTCCTGCCGTTAATCAACACATGGCTATATATACTTTAATACTACTTTGTCTACAATCAAAGAAACCATTTGTCTCCTAACCTAATCTTTTTGTAATTGATTGGCAAAAAATTTTAATTTGCAATTTTGTTAGAATGAATGAGTTTAACATATGAAATTATATTTATTAAATGTTAACTTATTTTTGCTTTTCCTAATAAGTACAGCAAATGATATTCATATTTTGTATTGATTTACAAATCCAACTTGCATACTAAGGACATTAAGGTCTGTCAGTAAGATCCTAATATTTTTGTAATCTGTTGCTGGCATTTATATTTATGATATTTAAATGTTCACAAGTTTTCATTTTTACATTTGACTTTTAATTGGTTTATCTGTATAAATGTTTCCTTGCACTTTAAACTTATAAAGAATTTTACCATTCAGAAATAAGCAATCTGAAATATTTTAATATACTTAGTTGATTTTAACGGTGTTACTATGTCTAAAAATTTTTTTGTTTTGAGATAATTAACTAATTGCCCCAGAATAGTAAGTAATTAAAGAAGCAGGACCACTAACTAAGAGTGTTGCAGAATAACAGATTTATTACAAGGATTTGACCTCAGGTAATTTTGGAAAGTGGTTATACAGTGTGTGTGTATGGCTGTGGTGTCTGCATCTGAGGCCAGGCCTAAAATCAGCAGGCCAAGCAGTGGGGAAGGCAAGACAGACATGAATTAGAAGACTGCGAAGACAAACTGGAACTCGCCTTGATGAACTGGATCTCACCTCTGTGTCTCACTACCTCCAAGCTGCCAGCTTTTGCTGAAGTTTGAGATATGCAGGAGAAGCTGGCACCTCCTGCCATAGAGCTAAACATACACCTAGCCCTGCAATTAGAGCAGTTGGAGCTAGGAATCTGACAGGAGCTAAATAAACTGCAGGCCCATTCCCCTGCTCCAGCAGCCGCACCTGCCTGCCCATGATTCAGAGAAAGTGAAAAAAAAGATCTGGCTGATGCTCTGTAAAGCTGGATGCCGCTCTACTTCCACAAGGAGTCAGAATATCAGCAACAATATGCTTGAACAGCCACAGTGTGCCTGGTGCCTCGCACCAATTTTCTGAATGTGACAAGAAAATAAGTGCTGGTGTACTTTTGCCTTCCAAATCGTAATGCATGCACGTCTCTTGTGGCTGACTCTAATCCAGAACGCTGCAGGAAAGCAAATTATGCATAATGTATTTCCAGCTTAGATAAGTAGACCCAACAAAATCCACTTCAGACTAATGTGTATCTCTCTCTCTCCTTTTTTTCCCCCTTTCTATAAGAGATAGGGTCTCACTTTCTCGCCCTGCCACCCAGGCTGGCATGCAGGGCCGCGATCAAAGATCACTGCCATCTCAAACTCCTGGGCTCAAGAGATCCTCCCATCTCAGCCTCCAGAGGAGCTGGGACTAGGGGCATGCACCACCATGCCCAGCTAATACTTAAAATTTTTTTAAGAAACAGTATCACCATGTTGCCCAGACTGGTCTGAGACTCCTGGCCTCAAGCAATCTTCCTGCCTCAGCCTCCCAAAGTGCTGGAATTTGCAGGTTTGAGCCACCATTTCCGGCCCAGACTAAGGTGTATCTTAAGATAAAAACACATGTACCCTTGTCCAATGCACACATATAAATATAGCCATAAATTGTCTCATTGATGTTTGTAAGTTTTAAAACTCATTATTTTTTCTATTATTTTAGCTTTAATCATTTTTATAGCTACATACAATGTCATGGATCATTCACAAACTTAATGTAATTGAAAATAAATAAAGAACAAATGGTTCCAATTGTATGAATTTCAAAGAAACAAGCAAAACAAGTCTATGCAATAGAAGACAGGATTTTATTACCTTTAGAGAAATGAGTGAAGTTAGTTATTGACAGAAGTACTGAAGAGTGATTTTGGTATGCTGATAACATTTTATTTCTTGACCCGGGTGCTGATTATCTAGATATATTGATTGTGTGACAAGTAAGCAACCTTTACTCATGACCTGTGCATTGTGTCAATGTGTATACATTATTACTATACAAATTGTTAAAATGCCATTGTATTTTTAGGCTTGACAGCTAAAATATTTCTAAATCATCTGTATTGTAAAATGCACATTTGAGTGGTATTACTTTTGTAACCCATAATTGTATGATCATTATAATTTATTTTAAGAGAAGCAGCGCTAAGTTTAAATCAACTTTCTTTAAATTTACCTAAAATTTTAACCATTTCAAATGACATCTTATGTCACTATCTGTACATTGTTCAAACCTATATTATTCTAATTATCTTTCTTACAAGTATTTCTGTGTAGATCAAGAATTACAGTAAGTTTTTTTTTAATAAAAGGAGATCTTGAAATGGGTTAGGAAAATCTCTTTTATTTCAGTATAAGGCACATAATGACCCTAAAAATATAGCTCCCTTTTTCTTTCTAGGAGGCATCTTTTATCTCTTCTTGCCCCTTTCCTCTCACATTTAATTAATTTCCAAATTAATTTAAACATATTTAGACCCTTTATCTTTTTCTTTTACCTATCATCAGTCTAGTTAAAATTATTATAGCAGTAGATAGAATGTGTATACTATTTCATCTCATATAGCTACCCCTCATCTGTCTGATTGACATCCCTTAATTTTAGTCTGTCTTCCAGTTCTTCCTACACATTCACAACAACTTCAAAAGTTTGCTTAAATCTTTTCCTCTGAACAAATACTTACTAATTTTTCATTTCTTTTCTGAAGAAGTTTGAAATTCCTGAATTGGTTTTGAAATTTCTCTATGAATTGGTTTTACTCCCTTTTATCCTCATGTCAATTTCCTCTACAAAGAGTCCTCTTGGGCTTCTAGAACTTATCATTTTAATGGAGGAAAGGGGCGCAGGGCAGGTGGAGATCTGTTAGAGAAGATCAAATTTAGCCAAGCAAATAATGGGGGAAAATGTAAAGTAGTACAATGAAACAAATTTTGCGTGTGTGTGTGTCTGGTGTGTGTAACTTATGTCTTAGAAAAGATCAGAAAATATAAAAATATACTTTGCAATAAATATTTTAGCATATATAGCTTTTAGTTTTCTACTTTTAGTAAATTAACTCATCCAAAAATGGAGGTAGAACCCATAGTAGCAAAATGGCATTATTTGGCTGATATTCAGTGCTCTCAGGGATACTGTGCTCATTTACGGCTGTGAAATTTGAGGCATTTTTGATAATATAGCTAAGTTACTGGATAGGAAAGACAAAAGGATTCAAGGAAAATTATGTTCCCAGTAATACTTACTCTAATGGCCTTTGTGTTTTAAATCTTTGGAAACCAAGATGACAGAAAGGATGCAGAAAGCAGAGGCATCTCAATTACCCTGACCTGTATGTCTAGACTAATTCTTAAACATTTTCCAATCTAGGTCTAGATTCCTTTCAAAGTTGACAAGTGACTGGCATTAGAGAAATCTTAAACCTTTTTCAGAGTAGAAAATGAAGCAATATATTTGAGAAGCCAAATCAGAGATATGCAGCATATAAAAAAGGAAGGGGGAAGGATGCTGAAAACGTATAGAAAAGTATTGCCAAAATTAAATTTTAAAAAGCTGCTCCTTGAGCAACTAGCAAAAGGAAATATAATAGCAGATGGCACTAAACAGGCAGTAACTTTCAGTTTTCTTTTTCCTTCTGTCATTATCTGAACTGTCAACTCATATAAGAAAACCCAAGGAAGATATATAAGGAATAAGAAGGCACAATTTCTAAGGAGAATAAAGAATATGTGAGCAATGGATAACTTGAACTATTTGAATATGTTTAAACTCACAGCTCCAGTGATATCAAGAATAGAATATATATAGTTACCAAAAGTTATTATAAAGTTATTAGCAATCATTTCTTATAAATCGAGAAAATGTAGAGAAAGACACTAAAGCTGAAAATGCTACAGTAGTGTTTTTCTATGAGACAAAATCTTGTCTTTTTCATAATTTTAATTCATTTTTACCAGATATTCCTGAATTTCTACTCTATTCCAGGCTTTGAACTAGAAAATATCGATAAAAAGAAGACTACATCGGGCTGAGCTAAGAAGATAATAGATTTGTGGTGGACGTCAGATTATAAAATTGAGAGTATATTAGAAAGTCCTCATTTATAGATAAGTACAAAGTGTTACACAGAAGAGAAAATATGAATGTTCACTCCAAGGATACGTACAAATAAGTCTTACACAAGAAGTAGCATCAAAATAGGAAGAAATCTGAAGGGCATAGGGAAAAGCACAGAGTGAACATAAATAATCATGGCTTATTTAAAGAATAAGGGGTATATTGGAGTAACCAGAATATAGGACACACAAACATGAAATAGGGAAGGGGAAAGTGGTAGGAGATAAGATTTTTAAGTTAATGTGTGCCAAGATTCTATGTACGATGAGAAAGAGCTTAAGTTTTTTTATCTTTAAAACCTTAAAATACACTTTCTTTCTTTCTTTCTTCTTTTCTTTCTTTTTTTTTTTTTTTTCTGAGACAGAATCTTGCTCTGTCGCCAGGCTGGAGTGCAGTGGCGCTATCTCAGCTCACTGCAACCTCCACCTCCTGGGTTCAAGCGATTCTCCTGCCTTAGCCTCCTGAGTAGCTGGGACTACATGCGCATGCCACCACACTCAGCTAATTTTTTGTATTTTTGGTAGAGATGGGGTTTCACCATGTTGGCCAGAATAGTCTCTATCTCTTCACCTAATGGACCACCAAAGTGCTGGGATTACAGGCCTGAGCCACAGTGCACAGCCAAGATACACTTTCTTTTTAAGAAAAAATAATCTTTACTTGTGTGGGGGGTACAATAGTAATGAGGATAATTTATATATACATCTGTTACCAACATGCACATGGCCATAGCAGCTTCAAAAATCATTATTGAGGCCAGAAGGTTGGTCTTTGGTGTGACACCTATAGAGCGTAGACAGAGACACACAACGAATTGGACTTACAGGAGCTGTGCCTGGCTGCTTCTCCAGAGTGTCAAGAGAAGAAGGGAGGTAGAGGCAAGGTATACGACTATATACCAGATGAGACCTCTCCATGTGGAGTGCCCAGGAGCACGAAACGGTAGGGGTTACACTGAGCACTTGGCTGAAAAGCGAAGTGTTCTCCTATCTACCACAAAAAGGAGTTTCTATGCACAGGCAGTAATAAATCACCACATTTTAACAGCAGTTGAATAATGAGTTTGTGCAAGACAACTTTGGTAGCATGGGAGGAAACAATTGCTTCAACCAAAGGAAAACACTTAGAAAAGAGAAATCAACTTAGAATGCTACTTAGAATGCAATTTAGAATGCTATCCAAATGCTAACATTTGGGTAACAGTTGTATCAATGCAGAATGTCCTTCCTTCAAAGGAAAGGTGGATGCATGGTAATGCTATTGGTCAGGATCTTTAGTAGAGTTTAGTCAAACTTGGAAGTGAAGCAACCATGAAGAATGAGTAGGGAATGAGGCAGCAAAAGCAATGCTATATATGTGTAATAAATTTTAGATTCAAAGTGATCTTTGAATTTCCTTTAATCCTCATGATTATTACATTTTCCACTTGCAGGAGAAAGTGAAATTCAGAAAATTTCAGTGATTCTAACCAAATTTAATAAGTAGAAGAATGAGAGTGTAAAACTGAAGTTGTGGTTTAGCATCTTTTCACTGCAATACGTGAAGAACAAAAGCAAACAATCAATCTGGCAAACAGAAACCCATGAACAAACAGAGAGTATCTACAAAAACCTTCAATATTCAAAGTGGCAAGCCATTTTTATGATTTTATGTTACTTAGCAGTAACCTAAAAAAGATTTTCCATGGCTATGATTGATTTTGTATTGGTATTTGACAAAATATGAGGCTAGACTAGCCACTTGTTTTCATAGATAAAGTTTAATAGGGATCCACTGGATAAGTCTATTTGTTTACCTGTTTTGTATGGTTGCTCTGAGCTCCAACAACAGTTGAATTGTAGCAGAAATTTATGGCCATCAAAGCCTAAAATAATTACTATCTGGATCATTAGGAAAACTACTGCTTATCCCTGATTTTGATAGTGGAATATATGATCTAAGCCTTTGTACTTAACATAACCAGTTCCCAAATGTACTGAAATATAATCTGATATCATTGATTGTGCACTATACCAGTAGAATTTTAAAAAGGTCATAAAATAAATGAAAAGTTTTATTTATTTAGAGATAGACAAAACAATTTCATGTTTGCATTTACTACTGTCATTATGTGATTTATCCTTCTTAACTCCTCCATTCCAAGGGTTTGCTTTTTAATTTTGATGAGGGGCAATTTATAAATTTTTCTTATATCAGTCCTGCTTTGGGATTTGTACCTAAAATCTTTGCCTTACCTGAAGTAACAAACATTTTCTACTATGTTTTTTTCTTAGAAGTTTTATTGTTTAAATTTAGTCCTACATTGCACACTGTGTTACTGTATATGTATTATACACACACACACACAGACACACACACACACACAGTGGCCATAATGGGTCAAGCAAGGGTCATTCTCTCTCTCTCTCTGTCTCTTTCTCTCTCAGAAATTGCATATGGATATCCAATTGTTCATATACCATGTTTTTCTAGAGTTCATCCATTCTCCATTTGACCTTCCTGTCAAAAATCAATTGCCCATATATATGTGGAAGTATTTTGACTCTGCTTTATTGACAGATTTGTCAATCTTTAGGATAAAACCATTGTATACTTATTATTGTGGCTCTATATAGTAATCCTTGAAATCACTTACTATTTAATAATAGTATGAGGTATCCACCTTGTTCATTTATTAAAAACTATTGGTCTAGATCCTTTGTTTTTCATGTAAATTTTAAGCTTAAATTATAAATTTCTACCAGAATCCATTCTGAGATTTAAATTATGACTGTTTAATCTGTAGATCAATCTGGGGGAGGATTTACATCTTAACAATTTTGAGTCTTCCAGTCTATAAATGTCGTATATCTCTCCATTAATTTAAGACTTCTTTGATTTCTGTCGTCAACATTTTATAATTGTCTGTATGCATCATGCACACATTTGGTTCACACCTAATTATTTAATGGCTTTGGTATATTATAAAAAAAACTGTTACTTTATCAAAATGAATATTCTGTATAATTCCTTCAGGTTATATAGATTTTTTTTTTCATTTTGACCTATTCTGACCAGTTTGGATTTTGCAGTTAAATAATATTTCATGTATATGTCACTGAAGTTTAAGTGTAAATTTTTGTTGTTTTATAAACACAGTATACTGTGCAGAAGCTCTTTAGTTTAATTAGATCCCATTTGTCAATTTTGGCTTCTGTTGCCATTGCTTTTGGTGTTTTAGACATGAAGTCCTTGCCCATGCCTATGTCCTGAATGGTATTGCCTAGGTTTTCTTCTAGGGTTTTTATGGTTTTAGGTCTAACATTTAAGTCTTTAATCCATCTTGAATTAATTTTTGTATAAGGTGTAAGGAAGGGATCCAGTTTCAGCTTTCTACATAAGCTGACAGAACGGGAGAAAATTTTTGCAATCTACTCATCTGACAAAGGGCTAATATCCAGAATCTACAATGAACTCAAACAAATTTACAAGAAAAAAACAAACAACCCCATCAAAAAGTGGGCAAAGGATATGAACAGACAGTTCTCAAAAAAAGACATATATGCAACTAAAAGACACATGAAAAAATGCTCATCATCACTGGCCATCTGGGAAATGCAAATCAAAACCACAATGAGATACCATCTCACACCAGTTAGAATGGCGATCATTAAAAAGTCAGGAAACAACAGCTGCTGGAGAGGATGTGGAGAAATAGGAACATTTTTACACTGTTGGTGGGACTGTAAACTAGTTCAACCATTGTGGAAGTCAGTGTGGTGATTCCTCAGGGATCTAGAACTAGAAATACCATTTGACCCAGCCATCACATTACTGGGTATATACCCAAAGGATTATAAATCATGCTGCTATAAAGACACATGCACGCATATGTTTATTGAGGCACTATTCACAATAGCAAAGACTTGGAACCAACCCAGATGTCCATCAATGACAGACTGGATTAAGAAAATGTGGCACATATACACCATGGATTACTATGCAGCCATGAAAAATGATGAGTTCATGTCCTTTCTAGGGACACGGATGAAGCTGGAAACCATCATTCTCAGAAAACTATCACAAGGACAAAAAAACAAACACCACATGTTCTCACTCATAGGTGGGAATTGAACAATGAGAACACATGGACACAGGAAGGGGAACATCACACACCAGGGCCTGTTGTGGGGTGGGGGGAGGGGGGAGGGATAGCATTAGGAGATATACCTAATGTTGAATGAAGAGTTAATGGGTGCAGCACACCAACATGGCACATGTATACATATGTAACAAACCTGCACGTTGTGCACATGTACCCTAAAACTTAAAGTATATTAAAAAAAGATACTTAATACAATTAATATTATACTAAAAAAAACCACAGTATAACAAGTACATTTAAAAAATCTCTTAGCAATAATGCACTATACTAAGACATGCAACTATTTCTATTTGTTGCTATTTAACTTAATAATGCTAAAAAATGTGTAGGTGGTTGCTAAGTACTGCTTCAATCCTGGACCTTAGAAATATATGGAATGATATAATATAACAACTTCCCAAGATGTCATTGTAGCTCCCAATGAAATATCTAACAACTACTGTGTTGGACAGTATGGGGCAAGAAAGCTGCCAAGAGGAGGTAAACACTTGAGTAGAATTCTAGAATATGACCAGTGTTGGCTCGCTCAACAAGAGGAAAGAGGAGTACTGCAAAGAGCAGATATAATATGCCTAATATCCCCAAATTATAAAAATACATCGTATTTTCATGAAATCACAAGTTATTTATTATAACTGAAGTGTTTTGTTGAAGTGGGAAGAAATTAGAGTGGAGAGGTAGGCAAGAACAGCAAATGGAGAAACTTCATTTCAAGCTATGGAATTTAAAATGTATAAAACTATAGCAAAAGCAGTCTATTTAGAGACACTGTATTGAACTGATATGGAGTGGTAGCCAAATGGGTATGGAGTTCAATAGAAAAGATTGATTCTGTAATTAGTCAGATTGGGCAACAGAGTAATTTCTTCCAATTTGTGTTAGTGGGCACATAAGATGTCTACAATACTTTAGTGATAGTATAAGTAAAATTTGTATTTGTATTTTTTTCACTTAGCAATATGTATTCTGATCATTCTTGAGATTACTGTTATTACTATAACTTCCATACTATTTTATTAAGTGACTATATTTACTTAATCAGCTTTCTATTGCTGAACATTTGGTGTATCTTTAGCTTTTCCACCTTTATAAAATTTGAAAAATGTCTGTATGCATGAGGAAAAGAATTTTTGAATAGTTTTATGATTTTTAAATTCCCATGTTGCTTTCCTACAGTACTGCATAAAAGTCCCATGTACCCAGCGTTCTCAAAGTTTTTCTCTGTACGGCACCTTTTTTTTAAATAAAAATGACTACTAAAAAGATTACTTTTGTTTACCTAGTGTTTATAGGAATAATATCATAAAGTACCAATAGCATATGAAATAACAAATATAATAATTTTTGCATAAATCTACTTTTAAAATTACTTTTGCACATACTTTATAAAATATTAGAACTTATGAGCTCTTAACATATTTGTTGTATCTTTATGTAAAGATTAATAAAATTTGGGCAAATTTATAATACCAAAATTGAACTAAACATCATTACCCCCTTTCCAGTAAATCTATAGGGTCAAAAAAACAAAAACAAATTATTGCTAGTGTAAAACAGTAAGAAATGTTCTTTGCTATCGACTTTTTTAGGGACATTCTATGATGAATTCAACAGTTTTGCCTTAGACTTTCAAGTGATTAAGTGCTCCCATTTTTTTCTTAACACAGAATAAATTTATAATAGAGAAAGCAGCCTTAGGTATGACTTTATGCATGTTTACCTGTGTCAAAGGTATTCTGGGCAGTTTATCATTATAGTAAAAAACCTTTCGATAGAGCATCTTGAGCTCCTTAGAGGAATAGAGCAATAAAAATGCAAAATAATATAGATGGTTTCATAAGCCTGCTTTACAAAATGGCATGCTTTTATTTTACTGCCTCTGGATAAATGAAATATATCATAATGAAATAACACTATCTGCCATTTCATGTATCTAGGTTCCTAAATATTCATGGTAGACAAGTCTATATATTATGGGAGCTAATATGAACACATTTAAATTCTGAAGCACCACTTAATCATAAGCTTAAGGGTACAGTTTAAAGAAAACTTAAGAATCTTAAAGTGAAACATATCTACTAGAAAAGAATTCTGAAATATCATCTCTGCATGTGAATAAAAAACACTACATGATTCATGGCTCATTCAAGGCATCCTTCTTTCAACAGGCATTACTAAATACCAACTACATTTCAGGCATTGTGCTTATTACTAGGATACAAAGATGAAGAATTCATATTTATCTGTTAATTCTGAGCTAATAATAATTTATTACATATGATAACATTTAAAGACATATGCTGGTTATATTCTGAGTGTTAAGACCATCCTTAAAATTTCAAGGCTGGTGATGCATGACTAAACCTTCAGGAAAAGATATTTTGTGGATTGAGCATACTGAGAAGTTTTCTAGGACAGATATCTTGGCATCACAGGCCTGGCTACCAAAATCAGGGAAGAGACTAGGTGAAGGAAACTACTTCAATGAAGCCAGAGGGGACAATGAGAGGCATTGCAAAGAACGAAGTATGTATGCACCAGTGTCTTAGAAACAATAATAATTGAATGCGTTCACAAGGACTCAGATACGATGCTGCTCAAAAGCAAATTGAGTGGAAAACAGTGGAGGCTGATCACTTTCAGACCAGAAACATTTGATACAAAGTAAAAAGAAAATTCCCAAGTAGAAACAAAAGTAAGTATACTGAAACATTGTAAATACATCTAAACCAGTTATAATGGGCTGAGACAAGAAAGGTTAATGAGAAAATTATAGGCAAACCAAGCATGGATAATTATACATCTTATGGGTTCTTTAGCAGTATTTGGAAATCCATGTGGTTTACTTGAATTTTTTCTCTTTTTTAAAAAATATAGATCCAGACTTTTACTAAATGTTTTTTTTCCTGGATTAAATAAATGTAACTATTAAAATTATACTTAATGATACTGAGTCTGATTAATTAATTCTATTAGTCAACAAACAAAAATGAAAACAATTGCCTCATTTAAAATCCTGTCTGCTTTGCTACTCAAGAGAGAAGAACTACAGTTAATAACCATGAGGCTGTGAGTATAGTTAAGTCATGTTTTAGAGGAAGAAATAAATAACCATCTCAAGGTGGATTGTAAATACTCATTTCCCTTAATAGTGATAGAAACAGAATTGTGTCAATCAACTAAGTAGCATTACAACTGAGGAATGAATGGGAAAAAATATATTTAAAACAACGGGTAATGTCAGAGTCAGAAGTTGTTCTGAAGAGCTCCATTGGTAGGATGAATGTCAGATATAAGATACTCTTGGATACTCAGTCCTCTTACTTTACAAATAAAGTGATTCTATAGATAATGCCTAAAATTCCTAATTCTTCCAAAATTCTGAGGCGTGACATATTTCTTTATTTCTGACAACTCATTAAACTTTTTACTTTGGTCCTAAGAAAAAAACAAACAAAAAAGAAACACAAAAGAATAAAAATAGAAAATATTTTTTAAGAATTTTCATATTTTCACTTCCCATAATCACAATTTGGGTAACACTGAATATGTTTCACAGTAGAGCCATCTTGTTTCTCTGTTAAAGTTCCCCTCAGCTTCTAACACCAATCAAATCATCAGAGAGTGCCCGAAGTATTTCCCATTCAGTTGTAAGTATGTTGTTGCTTTAAGAATTCAATGGGGACGGGCGCGGTGGTTCAAGCCTGTAATCCCAGCACTTTGGGAGGCCAAGGCGGGCGGATCACGAGATCAGGAGATCGAGACCATCCTGGCTAACATGGTGAAAACCCATCTCTACTAAAAATACAAAAAATTGGCAGGGCATGGTGGCAGGCGCCTGTAGTCCCAGCTACTTGGGAGGCTGAGGCAGGAGAATGGCGTGAACCCAGGAGGCAGAGCTTGCAGTGAGCCGAGATCGCACCACTGCATTCCAGGCTGGGCAACAGAGCAAGACTCAGTCTCAAAAAGAAAAAAAAAAAAAAAGGAATTCAATGGAATTGACTCACTGTCCCTAAAATATAAGTTAAAAATCGCTTGTCTTTCCAAATAATTACTAATCAACTAAATTATTTTAATAAAAAAACCATACTCTCAGTTTAATTCAAAAAAGGAAAAAAAAAAGTGAAGCAAGAAATCAAATTAGGTCCCATCAGGCCCTGATAACTAGAACACAGACACACAGGATCAACAAAGAGAGGAGTCATGGAAGAATGCTAGTTTGATCTCTGTCAACTAGCCTATAAAATATCATTATTATAACGATGAGAGGGGAATGCCTTTTCCACATATCAATGAATTACTACAGTATAATAAAACAACAATAAGAAACAGCATGCAAAAAGAGAATGAAGAAAAATAAATTAATAAAAACAAAATTGTATCCCCTTTAATAGTGAATGAATTGTATCCCCTTTAATAGTGAATGTGATACTAAAAGCTTATAGTTATTTTGTTTCCAATGCGATTGAAACAGAGTAAAAATCATCAAGAAAATACAGACCATTATACATAAATTCCAAAGAAACTTGCTTATATAGTTACTGCTTTTTCAAAACATTTAAACTTTGTGTCAATTCAATGTTGTAAAGACACTATAATAACTTGAAAATTGATTGTATTGTAAAGATTTAAGTAATGTAGCTTTTACCTTTGTAGAGAATAATTGCATCTGTACACATATTGAATATATACATACTCATCAAGGTACGTATGTCAATTAAAAATATGCTTATACATAATAGAAAGAAGACAAACGATGCAAGTGAGAAATAATCTACAGTTTACTGTCAAGTTACAGTACTAATAAAGTGATTATTTACATTCTGCATATTTTACATAGATGGCAAATTGTATCTGTTTTACCTTTTCTGAATTTGTATTCTCAAATAGATCTACTTGTTTTTATACTTTTATGCAACTTTGAAATAGTTTGTACTTAAAAAATTATGAAAATAAATAGAATCACAATGATGATGCTTCATTTCTGGAGATATGAACATTCTCATGTTTGTTATGTTACACACACACACACAAACATATGTAAGCATATTAATGCATATATAAGTAAATAAACATATAAATGACTATTTAAATAAATGGCTCATTTCCTTCTTGAAGACATTTATACTATGATCTGACAATTGTGTTTCAATTATCTATTCAGAATAATACGAGTAGCAAGGGATCATTTATACCCAAATATTTTTAGCATCCTCCAGATATCTGCTATGTGATATCAGAGGCTTCCTTCCTGGCCTTGCAACCTAAGACTCAAGAGTATGTGGGGATACAAGAGGAATGATGGTAGGCTCCATATAATCTTAATTAGCTCAAACATTTGGTATGATTTGTTTTATTTATTGAGCTTAAAATATATGGAATGCTATAAAATGAAAATGTAAAGCTCAAACTAACTTAGGTTAATGTTACTAATATGGATAGGTTTTAGGGATAGTAAATGTAACAGTTTTCTGAGTTTTATTCAGGATTGTGGAAACACATTCATGTTCAATTACAAAAGAGATACTGTATTATCTAAGAAGATTTCATTACCAAATTTAAAATACCTTTGGGCAATGTGAACAGCCTTGGAATCTCAATGTTTTCTTCCATTTCCATAACATGCTTTCTTCTCCTTAATGAGAGGGGCTATACCAGGTACTTGTGCTGCCTATTGATACTACAGTTTAACGACTCATGTGTACATGTTTTTCAGTATAAACTGACATGATCAAACATCTGCCAGATGGTAACAGGAGTTTATAATTTCTGATACGGATGCAGATGACTTTGTGAAAGCTGACCAGGAATCCAAAATTAGCTAATTATTTTAGAGCCTTTACTTTACATTTCTTTCATGTGAGATGAGACATTTCCTTATTTTCTTAAGCCGGATAATTTTGTGTGTGTGTGTGTGTGTGTGTTTTCCCAAGGCAAACTTAAGGATATACCTTCCAAAATTTTGCTTCTTAGATAGAAAATGATCATTTTTAGCATCCATGAGTGCGAGTGTTCGGGCACTTTATTTAGGTCTAAATAATAAAATGTTAATGTTAACATTTTGAAATAATGTTATAATGATATGAATAAAATGTTAGCATTGTCTAGACATGAATTTCTATGTCCTTTCAGAAATTCTAGACTTTGTAGTAAAATGTTGAAATCCAAATCCAGTGTGTTTGACAGTGGAGGCAAAGCTATTAACCACTATGTCATCTACTTCCAATTGTATAATTCACAAAACCTTTTCCAGCCAATGCAGTTATCTCATCATTATTTATCTTTTAATGGGTCATCTTATTTCTGTGAAAATATTTCCTGTGACAAAGTAAATACTGGTTCACAAGAAAGATTTTTCTGCTGTTGGGTAGTTTTAATTCTGAAAAGAAACAGGAGAAAGGAGAACAGGCAGTTCTTTCTTATGTTGAACTCAAATTTAATTCTTGAATTTGTATTATTTACAAGAGACACAACACAAGTACACCTTTAATTCATTCAACCTTCAAATATTTGAAACCATTTGTCAGGCCCTCCTGAAACTTCTCTTTTGTTTGTCGATACAATCAAATGCTGAATTTTTATACAATTTTTTCACATTCTAGCTTATATCAAGAGATTATATATTCCAGTTTGTCTGGTATAAACCTAGCTTATCCTACCTCTTAAAAGTGACCTGATTTGAACTGTAAATTACATGAACATTCCTCTTTTTGAATCAGTTTTTAAAATAACCAAATACTGATCATAACTGTAAGAGAAAGGGGGCACACATTAGAAAGGCTTTAAAGATTTTTAATTTGTATTAATACATAGAATAATTAAAGGGATATTCAAACTTTTGGAGTGTAAAACATTGTAATTTGAGGAACTTCTTTCAGAATAAGAATAATGTATAATCATAAAATTAGGTATAAAAATGATTGTTAGGCTGGGCGTGGTGGCTCACGCCTGTAATCCCAGCACTTTGGGAGGCCAAGGTGGGCAGATCCCTTGAGTTCAGGAGTTCAAGACCAGCCTAGCTAAGATGGTGAAATTCCCATCTCTAAAAAGAATACAAAAATTAGCTTGGCATGGTAGCTTATGCCTGTAATCCCGGCTACTCAGGAGGCTGAGGCAGCAGAGTCCCTTGAACCTGGGAGGTGGAGGTTGCAGTGAGTCAAGATCAGGCCACTATACTTCAGCCTGGAGAAAGAGCAAGACTTCATCTCAAAAAAAAAAAAAATTGTTAATTTAGAAGCAGTCTTAATAAGTGAGGGACCCTGTAGCTTAAGACCCATTAACTTCATGGTAAATCTACCTTTGAACATCAGTGTTGCTATCTGAAACAGCAATCAGAAGCTACCAATGCAAAACCACCAATGGCGGTTGGTATTTGCTATTTAGTTAGGTTTCTGATTGTAACATTGCTAACATGGTTAGAGAGAGCCTAAAATCCAAATGTGATTGTCTGTGAACATATAAAGTAAACAAAAATATTAATCCTTCTGAATATATTAGCTAAAATGAAGCCTTAAAATGAGATAAATATTTATTTTTAATTTAATAAATATGTCTTATCTAAATAAAGTATATTCAAATTTTTCTTAAATTGCTAAAAATAGAGATAAATTTAAATCAAAATAAATTTTTATGTGTCTATTTTATACTTCATGATGATAGGTACACTTTTATTTGCTAGCATTTTGTTTTGTTTGTTTTGTTTTTTGAGATGGAGTCTCACTCTGTCACCAGGCTGGAACGCAGTGGTGCAATCTCAGCTCACTCCAACCTCCATCTCCTGAGTACAAGTGATTCTTGTGCCTCAGCCTCCTGAGTAGCTGGGATTAACAGGCATGTGCCACGATGCCTGGCTAATTTTTGTATTTTTGGTAGAGATGGGTTTTCGCCATGTTGGTCTCAAGCTCCTAACCTCAAGTGATCTTCCAGCCTCAGCCTCCCAAAGTGCTGGGATTAGAGGTATGAGCCAGCTCGCCTGGCCTGCTAGTGTTTAAAGATTAAATTGTAAGAAAAAAATAGACATTCCTATAGAAAGAAATAGAAAAAGAGACAAATGGAAGAATGAAAGGAAGACAGGCAGGCAGACAAGACATTGTAATAAATTGACATTAGAAATTCTCACTCTACACATTTTCAGTTATTTTAACCATATAGGTTATTTTATTTCCCAGGACCTCAGTTTTATTACATTTGAAATGAATAAGTTGAGGCATATATATCTATAATATGAAATAGAGCATGCAAAATAACGAAATCTTGAAAAAACCTATGTATCATCTACAAAAGGAAAGTGTTCACTGTAACCTTCTTGAGGTAATACAGATGGAAAACTCAAAATAGAACAAAGAACTCCAGCTGACTTGCAATCATTTGAGCTAACATGTGGACAACTCAAATCAATATTTCGGCCTCATCAGCTTGGCAGAGTAGCTTTAAAGGTGACTTGTAAAAGGAATTGTCAAAATTCCCTCAACTGGAGCAATAAATGATGAATGTTCATAATAGCTGTCTAAAGGCAGCATATTCAGTACTCTTTAATATAAAACTCACCTTTTTTCTTTGTACTTTAAACTAATAAGGTTTTAAACATCCTTTTCAGCTCCTCTAATAGGAGCATTCAGGACACACTTTGCTACAGTTGAGGGATCTCTGACAATTCTCTTAGTTACCTTGAAAGATTACCGGGCAGTTGAATTACAGACTCAAGATTTTAAAGGTTTCTATAATTCCTATTATTTATTTAATAAAAGGATCATTTATTTAAAGAAATTAAGTCACACGACTGCTTATTCCTGCACTGTGGTTAGTACTTTTGGTATCTTAAGACATTTTTTTGAACAGATGGGATATTTTGCTTAGGGAACACTTGCATTTGCTAGGTCTTTTAAAAACATATTTTCAAGATTGTCAAAACATTACAAAATCATTAGGAGACTCCCATGTTAAAGTCTTGTCAGACATTTCATTATAAGCTTATGTTAGGATCCTAGCTATTTTAGATCACAAACAGCCTCAGTCAAGCACAATCTGTTAGTGAAGTTGAAATTTGTTTGGAGAATGTTATAAATGAATTGCTATACTTGCAGCTAAAAATCGTCAAAGTGAGTGTGCTGATAGACTAGCTCTGTGAAATTAGATTGGAATGATAAATCAAGGAGTGCTACTAATGCTCTAGGATTCAGGGATATACTGGGAATAATGTAGTTTGTGGTCAATTCTTTCTT
The DNA here is from genome assembly GCF_000001405.40 of Homo sapiens. Lineage (NCBI taxonomy): Eukaryota > Metazoa > Chordata > Mammalia > Primates > Hominidae > Homo > Homo sapiens. The sequence continues at coordinate 81,230,312 of NC_000013.11, read as the reverse complement.
ATCACAATCTACCCAAAGTTAAATAGAGCAAAATCATGTATAACTAAATTTGCCATCAAATCAGCAAGTGCATTTTAGCTTTTAATTAGTTGTATTATCTAAAGTAAATGTGTAAATCTCATCTTGCTTTCCAATTGAAGACATTGGAATTTTATTTTATGTCAGTAAACTTAGTCGAAAGAATGCAAATATATGCTGTCAGATAACATAAATTGAATATTTTATAAATCAGCTTGAGTTATGTCACTATGAAAAAATACCAAATTTTAGTGGTTTTTTTTTCAACAAAGGTTTAAGTTTTGTTGTTCCATGTGTTTTTATTGTTTGGCAGAAACGGCATGAACTCTTGACTCCAGAACCTAAAGTAAGAAAGAAATTAGTATCTGAAAATTGGATATTTCAAACTATATGATGGCTGTTAAAGTTTATAACCCAGTGGTCAAAGTCACATAGGCAAGCCTGAAGTCAATGCATGGGAAAGACAGCTTTCCCTAATGAAAGGGTTGCATAGAAAGATGTTTTGTAGGGGGTATCAATACATACGTTAAACAAACAATACAAACTACTACAAAATAGAGGGAGGCAGGAAGTCCCTTATCTTCTATTGGATTTTATTTTTTAATTTTTGTTGTTGATTTGAGTTGGCTGAAGAGATTCTAGGATAAAAAACAATTCATATACTCTAAGATGTGTGTAGCTCACTTAACAATTCTCGAAAAACTCTTCAGACTAATGACTTAATCTGAACTGAAGAAAACAACTTGACAATTTTTTACAAAAGACATTGTGATCACTAGAACAATATATGGAAAGCTCTCTAGTTTCAAGCTTGATCTGTGTCCTTATTCTGATCTCAAATTTTTAAGATGGGACATAAAGTATATACAGTTAGATTAATACATAACATTTGCATTTAAAATATAGCAATGTCAATCAGTAACTTAAGTCATTTCTATGTTATAAAAATGATCCTGATTATGAATTATAAATTTGAGTTAATTTACAGATATTTAGTTTATGAAGGCTATCTGCCTTTGTTAAAATAAAAGCATAAAGGTCAGGAGAAATATGACAGAAAGTTGATTTAACATAAATGTATTTGAATTAATTTTAATCTTTAAGAAGCTTATAATATGTTTTAAATTCTCTTTCAAGCATTATTTGCAAAATGGAAATAAAAAGGCTGAAGACTGCTTTGCTAGATACATGAAATAACTTCTAGTAGACAATCAATACAAATTTTACCCCCTCTCCCCTCCTTTGAATGTGCCTGAATCACTAAAAGTTACTTTTTTAAAAATGAGAGTAATCTAATGGGGATTACTATATGGAAATCTATATGAAGTCTACAGAGTTGCATATCCCAAGGGTGGTAATTTAATTCATCAGTGAGCTCATATATCATACCTTCCAAGGGAAATGCAAAGTAAGGAGCATATTTTGTCTTTCTCCCATGAGATAATAACGTTCAACACAAGCGTGAAATGAAGAGCTGGTAATAAATTCTGAACAGGTGTGATAACCAGATTAATGCACACCTCTATTTTTTGCAATTTAAATTAAGTTAAATTAAATTTATTATTTCCATGTAATATGTGTTTTTCAAAATCACAGAATAAAACTAATGTTCAAATCTGCAATTCAAAGTCAAATGACATTGCATTATTCACAAACTTACCTACTTAACTCAGCACCTGGACTGCAATACATTAATAGATCTGTATTCTAAGATTTTGTTTACCTTAGATTATAATACAAATTTACAAAGATGGTATATTTCAGCTCTCTATAGTACATGCATCATTGTTATAGTCAAGTCTTAGTCCTTTAAGGATTTTTAAATTGGACCTTTTAATAAATTATTAATACTTCCACAATAGTATGACATTTCTGGAAGAAAGCACAATGAGAAAATATGCAAATGACAGAATGTTATGAATTATCAACAGGGGTGAGTCATTGATAGCAAAGATGCATAAAATTATAATATTCAGTTCATCTCTTCATTTAACTTTTCCAAGTATAATTATCCAGTTATTTAATTTTTTACCGCTAAGACTGAATGTATTGTCTAGGGTCTTCAAAACCTTTCAACATGTATAGAGAATTGAGAAGAAAAATCAACTGAAGCAATAGAAATCCATTAATGTTTCTTCCTCAGAGCTAATTTAAAGAGGACACTTACCATACTGTTAGTTCCCCACAGTGACTAATTTCACATTATTAATCATTTGCAGTAAAAGTACAGGCATAACAATAGCTGTACAATTGGAGATAGAATTCATATCTCTTAAATCTCTGCAACTTACAATAGCTGTACAATTGGAGATAGAATTCATATCTCTTAAATCTCTGCAACTTCTCTCCAAGGATCAGGAAATGATTTAATGTTATTTGAAGTATAGGCATATATCTAATATATACTTCACTGGCTTTTCTTCCCTAAATGCCTTTACTCTTAACTAGGTTATCAAAGGTAAACAAAGTCCTGTAACTGTATTTTCTCTAAATCATGAGAATGAAATAGTAAATATTTTAAAATTGAAAAGCTTAATAAATATAGAAAAGCAGCAATACCTGTGCTCTTTCTTATGTTCTTATTAATGTGCGTTGAGTGTACGTGTGTTTTAGATATTGCTATACTAATTTTTCTGTTTAGTGAACAGTATCACGTTAAATTCTGGGTAAAGAAACAGAGGGATATAAAGTCTTTCAACTCCCTCACTGAAATTCAACCTGGAAAATATTTCTTTTGAAAATGATTCTATGTATTATGATATATAAACAGGCAGTATTTGTTCTTTTCTGATTTTCTTCAAAATGATAATAACAAAAATTGGTATTTAACTTTCCAATAAAAATACAGAATAAAGCAATGGGAAATTGAGAGAGCATTCTCTGAGAAGGAAATTTAATTGGAACTTATCCTTAATCATCTAAGAGTAAAAACATTTTGAAGATATTCTAGAATATTTTATAGAACATTTCATGAAAAGAAAGGACAAACAGATGAGACAGAATAGCAAGAATAGAGGACATTAGTGAAGTGAAATAAGCCAAACAAAGACAAATACCGCATCATCTTGGGCTTCTGGGTCGGGTAGGGACTTGGGGAACTTTTCTGTCTAGCTAAAGGATTGTAAACACACCAATCAGTGCTCTGTGTCTAGCTAAAGATTTGTAAACGCACCAATCAGCACTCTGTCAAAACGGACCAATCAGCTCTCTGTAAAATGGACCAATCAGCTCTCTGTAAAATGGACCAATCAGCAGACTGTGGGTGGGGCCAGATAAGGCAATAAAAGCTGGCCACTCTAGCCAGCAACGGCAGCTGGCTGCTTTCTGTTGGCATGCAGTGTGGTGTTTGTTCTTTTGCTCTTTGCAATAAATCTTGTTGCTGCTCACTGTTTGGGTCTGCACTGCCTTTATGAGCTGTAACACTTATTGTGAAGGTCTGCAGGTTGACTCCTGAGGCCAGGGAGACCACGAACCCACCGGTAGGAAGAAACTCTGGACACATCCGAACATCAGAAGGAGCAAACTCCAGACACACCATCTTTAAGAACTGCAACACTCACCGGAGGGTCCGCGGCTTCATTGTTGAAGTCAGCGAGACCAAGAACCCACCAATTCCAGATGCAGTCTCACCTGTATATGGAATTTAATAAAGCCAGACTCATGGAAGCAGAGAGTAGAGCAGAGGTTGCCAGAAGCTTGGATTGGAGGTAAATGGGGAGCTGTTGGTCAAAGGGTTAAAAAAAGGCAAGAGTGACAAATTGTATTAAAAAAATTATTTAAAATGTGTTTTGACACATCATTTTTATGATAATAATGTTTATTTATACCTTTAACCTAATATAATTCAAATTTATACTGACATCCTCCCATCTGCTCCTTCTGAAGGACAAAGTCATCTGTCATTGATTTAGAGTTCCCAGGGTATTATTTAATTAGGGCTTTGTAATTAATAACAACAAGGAAACATATTTTTGACATTTTTGACAAAAATATTTTTTCCCCTTCTAGCCTGGCAGAATCAATTATGTATCCACATTCATTCTAATTGTCTTCCTTTCTTAAGATTGGAAACTTAGAAAATAAAAATGTCACTTAGCTCTCAATATGAAATTAAATTGTTTCAGAAGACAAGTATTATTTTTAAAATAATATTAGCTGTTTTGTATTAAAATTTTTTCGTTTGCAGTTATAGTTAGTAACATATCTTTGTAACTAGCAAAGAAATTAAGAACAGTATCATAAACAGCTGTTTCATTTAAGGATAATCTAATGCATTTCATTTTTTGACTCAGATTTTAATATACACATGTCAAAGTAAAACTGGATTTTATGTAGAGGTTAATTTGAGAAAGGGTTTTAAATGTGTAATTTAAATTTTCTCAAGTTGTGCCATCCTGTATTTTAAGTCAGAGTAAAAGTTATAACACAAATTTTGTTGTGTCCCATCTCACTTGCTTTTACGGGAAATGAGCCCCGCATTGAGCTGTTTATTTCTGTTAGTCTCCAGGGAATGTTCTGTTGGTCTCCAGGGAATGTTACATATGTGCTTAAAAAAATTGCCAGCAATAATTACTTCGCTATGGCCATTTCCCTTTTTCCTATTCTAAACCTGTTAATTGTTAATTGCTGAACTCTGATGGAGATGCTACATAAATGCCTTAGCTTCCACCAGTGTTTCTGATTCTTCTTGTGAGTATGAAATCAACACACCAGCGTGCAATCTTTTTCATGTTTCCAAATCTGTTATCCAAGTACTAAAGTGACTCCACATGACTAAAATAACCGAAGAGCTCACTCCTTCATTTTTTCTTTTTTGCATATTGTCACCTGAGTCTAAGCACCAACTTTAATATCAGAGTTTCTTCTTAGAAAAATAAATTCATCCACTCCTCAATAGGTCTCAGCTAGTCCTCCATCGGGTAGGAGAGTTCAGTCACCAGGCTCGCTTCTCCATCGTTTCCTCTCCTCTACTTTTGGCAAAACAGGAAACTCTTCTCCTTAGTCCCCTTATCTGTTCCTCGAACAAATCCGATTATATGCAGATTTGAAGCTTAGCTGACACAGATAGCATAATCACATAAAATACTAAGTGAATTGAAAAATAAAACGAGTTATTTTTGAATTTAAAAATCTGTCTACAACTACTAGTTCCAGTTGCAATGTGAAAATACCTTGGATACAGCCACTCCTGTCTTTACATAGAAAAAAAATGTTGCACAAACTGAAAATCAGTAATTTTCTTTGACTCATGAGAGTCGTGATTCCCAGGGTAAACCACCACTCCAAAATCTGGAGACAGGTGAATGTAGACAGTCATATCAAAGATCTGCTTACCTGGGGCTAAAGCCACTGGGGCCATAAACTGGTAGGCCTAAACGAGTGCAGTCATATTTCACTTAATGACTGAGATAAGTGCATCATCTCCTGTAATAACAAAAATAACTTTTGGAGCACCTCCTGAAGTACTTGCCTGAGGCTATTGTTCAATTAACAATTATTTTAGTAGTAGTAGGAGTACACTCTACAATAATGACAAGAAGTATATTACGGAAAATACAGAAACTAAGTTTATTTTCATTATCCCGTTTTATGTACTGTACATAATTACATGTGTGATATTTTTATACGACTGGCAGCCCAAGAGGTTTGCTTGCACTAGTGTCACCACAAACACATGAGTAATGCATTGCACTACCGTAGTATGATGGCTACAATGCCACTATGCCATAGGAATTTTTCAGCCTCATTTTAATCATAAGGGACTACCGTGTATATACAGTCTACTTTTGATCAAAACCTCCATTTTTTACCAAAACATGTGGCAGACCAGGTCTCCATTTCCAAACAGAGGAGTCAGCTTTCACCAACACCTTGCTGTAACTCTTATGAATACATAAGTTAAACATTAAAGAACTGGGGAAACCAGTGCCTTAGTACAAAGGCTAGAATATAAAACCAAGTCCATTTAAGACCCGGCCTGGGCTTTCTCAGACTTCAGAGTTTAATTAAAACAACTGAGACGTTCTTGTACACCTTGTACCAGGACCCACTTTAAATTAAATACTTTTTCCAAGGCTCTGCAGTAATTGTTTAGACCCCAAACCCTAGATAAAGAATAGATAGAGTGAAACACTTTGGCTTTCAGCTTATAGGTGTATTAAATGTATGTAAGCACTAGATAACTTGTAATTTTGAGTTGGTCTGGTGAGTTACTCCGAGCTCTTCCTTTTAACAGTTTGCAGAAATAAGCTCCCTTCCTTCCCAGCCAGTCTGCATCTCTTTGTTGGTCTGCGAGAACCAGCAGCCGGACACACCCATTCGGTCCGGGAACAACATCGTAACTATAACTTTGGTGAATTTCTGAGGCTGGATGTGGATTAGCATGAGATAAGCAAAGTCCTAGAGGCCTTCCTTTTGGATGGTCCTCCACAATTTTGTGAAATTTACCCATAGGAACTCATAGGTTATGATAGTGAACAGAAAAGAAAAAATCCTGTGTTCTGGAAGTTCAGGGGAAAAGTAACTATTTTGAAAAACACTGGGATCTTTCTGTAAAACAAAGGCCTACTCTGCAGGGAAAAAGACTTTATCAGAGCTATATCTTACCCAGGAGAAGGTCAATTTTACAACTCTCATACCCAGGAGAAGGGCAATTTTACAACTCTAGCTATATTAGCCCAACTGCCTCAGAAAAGGTGAGGGGGAGGTGGGAGCTAAGAAAATGTGTGAAAGTCAAGCCAAGAACAAAGACCTACTAAAACATTGAGTTTTAATTACAATGTTGTAGATCTCTACCCCTCACCCACACGTTCCCACCACATGTATAGGGCTCCAGTGTAATAATAGTGGATTATAGCTGAACGAGATACAAGGCACACATGTAAGAAGGATTTTTTGTTTTGGTTGTTGATTTTTTTCTTTAAGTAAAACCCAAAGACAACAGAAGAAACAAAAAGAAGGACATTAAAAGAATTTGAAACTCTGACACCTGTTGCCACAGCAAATATTCAACATAGCCCAACTCCTTCCCAAGTGAACATAAAACCTCATACTAAAGGTATATTTATTTTGGTTCATATTATGTCTAGTTTTCAACAACAACAACAAAATAGAAGGTGTCTTAGTCTGGGCTTCTAAAACAAAATATCATAAACTAGGTAGGTTATACACAACAGAAATTTATTTCTCACAGTTCTAGAGGTTGGGAAGTCCCAGATCAAGGCACTAGCAGGTTTGGTGTCTGGTGAGGGTGGCTTTCTGGCTCATAGTTGTCACCTTCTAGCTGTGTCCTTAATATGGTGGAAGGACAAATGAGCTCTCTAGGGCTTATTTTATAAGAACTCTAATTCCGCTCATTTCACTTATCCCATTCGTGAGTGTTCGGACCTCACTGACCTAATCACTTCCCAAAATGCCCTACTTCCTAATGCCACCACCTTGAAGGTTAGGACTGCACCATATAAATTGTTGGGAACACAAACATTCAGACTGCAGCCTAAAGTGAAGTGTGTTAAGATGCAGATAGATAGATAGGTAGGTAGGTAGATAGATAGATGACAGATAAATAGACGATAGATATAGATAGACCCAGCCAACAAACAAAAACATAGTTTGGAAAGACAAAGCAAGCATCAAAACTTGACTCAAATACAACACAGCTTTTGTAATTATCAGACAGGGAAATAGAAATTACTATGAATTATATGATAAGAATTCTAATGTAAAAATGTAAACAGCAAGCAGAACAGATGGCTAAAGTAAGCAAACAGATGAAAACACCAAAAAATTATCAAGAGAAAACACTAGAAATAAAAAATACTACCACAGAGAATTTAAAAATAATTCTGATGGGCTCATTGATAGACTGGAAATAGCCATGGGAAAGTCAGCGAGCTTCAAGATGTCAATAGACACGTCTCAAACTGAAATTCATAGAGAAAAGATGAGAAAAGTAGAACAGAATATTCAAGAACTGTGGAACAACTTCTCAAGGTACACATAATACATGTAATTGGAATACCAGAAGATGAAGAAAGACAAAAATTAGAAGGAATATTTGAAATAATAATGTCAGAGAATAGTCCAAAACTAATAGAAGAAACCAAACCACAGATTCAGAAACCAACCACAGATTCGGAAACTTCAAACAAAACAAATACCCCAAAAATCTATACTGAAGAATATCATATTCAAACTGCAGAAAACAAAGGACAAAAGAAAGCCTTGAAACAGAACAGATTATAAAATCGTCTAAAAAAATTACTTTACACAGGAAAACAGATAAGAATTGGAATGGACACAGAAAGACAAGTACTACATGATCTCACTTATATGTGGAATCTAAAAAGTTGAACTCATGGGAGCAAAGAATGGATGGATGGATGATTACTGGCGGTAGGAAGTTGGGGTAAATGGGGAAATGTCGGTCAGAGGGACAAACTTGGCAGTTGTAAAATGAATAAATTATGGAGAGCTAATGCCCATCATGATGACTATAGTTAAAAATTGTACCTTGTATACTTGAAATTTGCTGAGAAAGTAGATCCTAAGTATTCTCACACATACAAAATAGTAACTGTGTGAAGTGACATGTTAACTAGCTTGATCGTGGTAATCATTTCACAATGTATACATATCTCAAAATATTCCATTGTACACCTTAAATATATACAATTTTTGTTAGTTATGCCTCAGTGAACCTCGGGAAGAAAGAAACTAAGCAATTAAACTTTGTCTTCTTAAGTAAATACATTAGAATGTTTAATCAATAATGTATAACCATGTATTAAGAAAGTCCTATGAATAATATGTAGAACATAATTTATATGTTAAGTTCATAATATAAAAATAGCCACATGTGATATTAGACGTCCAATAATAATTTGGCCCCTCAACGTCTCATAATTTTCTGGATCTTTATCTTTTACCTAAGGGGATTTTCAATGTCACACTGATACCTGTCCTACTTTTTTAAAGAGTAAACAAATTCATCATTTTTCTCTTTGTAGGAGAGATTTGTGATCTTACTTAGATGATGTGTGAGACAGTAAATGAAATGAGGAGCATTCACTTAAATGTTGCTGAGCATTTCTGTCTTCTGGGCTCCAGTATCTGAGAGTTGATTATGAGTTTCTTCTAATATCATAAGAATGAAGGCATACAAACATCTTGAAGTACAATATGAAATTTGTAAGTATTTCTAGTGAGACTGTGGGAGAAAGCCAATAATTGTTCCTGGCAATAAATGGAATATTAAAAAAAAAAACCCTTGATGATATGTTAACAATCTCAATTCCCAATATGCTGCCTCACTTGGGTTTGTACTCTTTTTATGGTAAAGCTTTTTATAATATGTTTTCTTTGAATATTAAAATTACTTAATTTTTCCTCATTTTGGTAATAAGTCTTAAAAATTAAATTATTTCTATACTTATTCAAATTATGGTTAGTCACTTAAAGAAAAATGGCTATCTTGAGTCATCTTTCAGTGGCTATTTCACTTCAAACTATGAAAAGCTTTTTCATATTAGCAGTAAACATTTTCAATAACAAAGGAGATTATCATCATTAATCATATAATTTATTCCTCTTTGCACTGAAATACTCAATTTTTGTGTCTGGTTATATCTGATTTCATATTCTCTTTCACAAAAATGATCTGTTCTTCTTATTTTCTCATTTATTCTCCCAAGTTTATTTTATATGCTATCCTCTGCATACAATCTGATCTCCAAAAGCCATCCACACATACATAATGTCCATGACATTTAATGTAGACTAAACCCATAGTACTTATATTCATTGACCTTTGTATTATATTGACTGTATATTTACTTGAGCTCTGCTTCAACGATGGATATGAAGAGAGAAAAATCTCTTTCTGAGCTGTTATCCTACAAATTTATAGCCCCAAACACTGAAACATTAAATACATTATTGTTCAACAATGTATTTAACTCAAGCTAATCAATTCTCTTTCTTTATGACAAATAGCTGAGGAAATACAGTTATTATCAATGATGTATTTTTGACCGATAATCTCTAAATATTTTCAATTAAGTTTCACAAGTCTTAACTTTACATTTTTCTTTAAAATGAGCATAATGAAATCACTAATAACAATTTGATCTCTAACAAATTGTGTGTGTATGTTTAGAGTTATAACACATACAAAATATATATTTAATTTCTCACCTGTTGTTTTTAACTGTATTTTATCCTATGGTAGCATTCACTAGTGAGACCCACATGCACACAATTTTAGATGTTAAGAGAAAATATTAATAAATTATCTAGTTCATTCTCATAACTTTTAAAGAAGGCTTCTAAAATACAGCCAGATTTGAGGTACTTTAATCAGTATTACTTTTTATTTAATAGATATACATATTTATTTTCAGCTAATATTTTAAGTCAATCTAGACAGGTAGATGATTGTTTGCAATTACTCTACTATAACCATACATTTATTTCTTCTTTTAGTAACCTTTACTTGGTAAGTGAAATAGGAGGTGACTGTGATGAACAATACCATTAATAAAGATGAAATTACTACTGAGTCAGAATAATTTTTGAAATTATCATTTTTAATAACTTTTGCAGATATTGCATGTATTTGTTAGGCCATTGTTTAAAGAAAAAGGACCAAAAAACTACAATAAGTGTTCAAAATAAGTGTAAATGGCAAGATAAGGAATGCTGGTTGCCTTGGCAACTAAGAAACACATTTAAAGCAAGATTACCCTGGGTAAAAATTATAGAAAAGGTAATACATTTTTATTGTCTGAAGTGAAAATCACAACTCAATAAAGACTGATGTCTGTATCAACTCAGATTGTAAAATTCAGTTACAGTGCTTACATCCAGAAGTCAAGATACTTTTTTGATAATTGTTTTCTTATTATTTTTTCCTGGAGAACCACTTCTCTTTGACGTCTGATAGCATTCAACTTAAACTTTATACAATTGTCATCATATAATTATTTATAAGGCAGGGTTTAGAGGACACTTTTAGATTTGTGACATAGAAATTTTAAGAAGGCCGATTCACACACACACATATATGTATAAGTCAACTCAACTCTCTATACTTTGATTTTATTACCTCTTAAATATAATTTTGTATTGACCTCTTAACAATATCCAACGAGAAGAGGAAAGACTAGGATAAATTTTCTTGCCATGGCATCAATACTCAATAGGTGAATTTCTATATTCATTCTTATAACTCAGAACAAATTTTTAATACTGATTGCAATTAGAGAAAAGTTTCCATCAAAACTTTAAAAAGCTAAAATAGCACTTTTTTAATCTATTTAAAAAATCTATAAAAAGGCACCTTTTCCTGCATTAATAAACAAATGGAGCCAGTTGTACTTTAAGTGCAGTAAATATAATGTGAAATTTCTCAGAGTATGTACAGTTAGATGCTACTGAAGATTGAGAACTGCATAATTATTGGGATTATACATTCACAAACTCTGTAATATTATTTATATAAAATTCTGCTAAGTAAATCATTGGCCATGGTTAAAATGAATGGACTCCTTAATGTAATCTAAGTGAGGTGCTGATAGCTCAGTCACATTGAAACAACACCGAATTTAGGCTCAACATGAATGAAGTTCAAATCTGAATTATGTCACTTACTATCTTTTTTACTCTGCCAACTCAATTAACTTTATGTGTTTTACTTAACTCATGTTTGAATTGGAAATAAAACAGCTTCCGTGTTTCATTAAGGTTCTGTGGTAAGATTAAAACGTGATGTTGTGTTAATAAATAACAACATGTATAATACAGTGGCTCAATCCGATAATCCCAGCACTTGGGGAGGCCGAGGCAGACAGATCACCTGAGGTCAGGAGTTGAAGACCAGCCTGGCCAACATGGTGAAACCCCATCTCTACTAAAAATACAAAAATTAGCAAGGCATGGTGACATGCACCTGTAATCCCAGCTACTTGGGAGGCTGAGAAAGGAGAATTGCTTGAACCTGGGAGGCAGAGGTTGCAGTGAGCTGAGATTGTGCCATTGCACTCCAGCCTGGGCAACAGAGCAAAACTCCATCTCAAAAAAAATCACACAGATCTCAGATATGATAATTATGTCTCAGATTATTGGTGTATAACTAGGTGATATTTTATATTATTTTCATTTAGTCATCAAATACGTGTTGTGCCCTGCCATATGCCAGGTGAGCATTGGTATCTTAAAGTATAGATATGTGAAGACATTTTTTTCTGCCTTACAGGATTTCACAGATTTGGTGACATAGACATGTAATCAGACAAATAAAATAAAAGAGTAAAGTTTGAGATTTATTCATTGAAACAAAGAATGCCAAATGGTATAAAATTCATACATTTTGGTAGGAAATTTATGTACAAGCAAACTACATCACTAGTATTCACCATAAGTGAGTTGCTAAGGGCCTGATAAAAAAAGAGGCAGGGACTCTGCTTCTCTGGTAGCCTCAGCTGAATTAGGGGTCAGAGCTCTTTCCATGACAACTTTTCTCTTCTCAACATTCTTTTGATTTTCAGTAACTGCTTTGCTTCATCCCCAAATGAGAGCCATTGTCATAGAGTTGGTGGCTTGATGAGAAGGAAAACTGTGCTTCCTAAATAAATCAAGAAACAAGATAATAAATAATAAGTTAGTTGCTAAGGAGTAGAAAACATGAAAAATCAATGTATGATATTGATGATTTACAACATTTTACTATTGTGTAGAATACTTTATTTGATGGCTGAACAACACTAGCACAGATTTTCAGTTATTAACAACATATATGGGCATGGCATGGTGGCTTACACCTGTAATCCTAGCAATTTGGGAGACTGAGGTGGGTGGATCACTTGAGCCCAGGAGATTGAGACTACGCTAAGCAACATGACGAAACCCCATTTCTTCAAAAACTACAACAAATTAACCGAGTGTGGTGGTGCATACTTGTAGTCCCAGCTACTCAGGGGGCTGAGGAGGGAGAATCACCTGAGCCTAGGAGGTAAAGGCTGCAGTGAGCCAGGACCAAGCCACTGCACACCAGCCTGGGCAACAGGAGTGAGAGCCTGTCTCAAAAAAAAAGAGAACATACAATCTTTCATAAAACCATCTACTTCTTCCTAGCAGTTATCACATTTGTGAAGTAGTACTACTTTTGAAATTCTGTTTTTGTTTATCTTGCCTACTATACTATAAATTAAATGGAGAAAAAAAGAAAAAACTTGTTTGTCCTCCATCTCCACTTTATTTCCAGGTCTTAACTGAGAGGAGGGGCACATGGCCCATATTTAGTAGATACTTGTCTAATGAATAAATGATCTTCACTGTATACAATGGCATGTCTCAATTTCCAAATGAGAAAGGAGTGTGATGTGACAGCTACCATCTCTGCCCCACCAAGATTCCCACATCACACATTTCCATGCATTTCTGTCCAGATTCCAACTCACAGCACTTAGAACTAACCCTATGTAAGGATTCTCTCTGGCCATAGGTGTCTGCTGCACAAATAAGAGGAATAAAGGGCTATGGGATAAATGTTCCCCTCTGAGAACAGCCCTCAATAACTATATCGTGAGGTTGGTGGGTAGATATCCAAGCTTCTTTGCCTTTTGGTGATCTAATTCTCATGACTGTTCTTCATATTGGTTGGCAGAGTTTGCAGTAGGATTGAGTTCCAGTTGTCCACAGAGGAAACTTAGTGGGTCACACCTCCTTTATTGGCTTCTGCTTTTTTCTTTTCTCGGGTTCACTTCTTTTATACTGGCATGTTTTGGAATTATATCACAAAGAAACTACGAGTACTGAAATCCTTGTCACAGTACTAATTCTGGAGAACTAGAAATCAGATAAATTCTTAGAATTAACCAACAATAGAAAATATTTTTAAGAAGGGGATGTGTTATCATAATCTTTTTCTTGCTTAAGTATTTTTGTTTGTGATAAAGCTATCTTGATGATATGAATAAAATTTTTAGTAGCGTTTTGCAAGTTCTCACTATACACTAATAATAGGAAACAAAAATTCATGTATTCTCAAAAAAATTCTTCCAGATCCCTAGACTTTAAACTTTAAACAAAACTTTGAGTATTGACTATTTATCTTACTAGTTTTTAAAAATTAAAACCTAACTAGTTACTAGGTTATTTGTTTTTCTTTCTCCCTGTCTCTCTTTTTTTTTTTTTTTTTTTTTTTTGAGACAGAGTCTCTCTCTGTTGCCCAGGCTGGAGTGCAGTGGCACAATCTGGGCTCACTGCAAGCTCCGCCTCCCAGGTTCACACCATTCTCCTGCCTCAGCCTCCTGAGTAGCTGGAACTACAGGCACCCACCATCACGCCCGGCTAATTTTTTGTATTTTTAATAGAGACAGGCTTTCACCATGTTAGCCAAAATGGTCTCGATCTCCTGACCTCGAGATCCACCCACCTTGGCCTCCAAAAGTTCTGGGATTACAGGCGTGAGCTACCGTGCCCAGCTGGTTACTTGTTTTTCTATTCACCACTCAATTTATCCAGTGATCCATCTATCTAATAAACCATACATCCATTTGTCTTTCCAGTCCAGTAATGATTTCTTGAGTAACTAATGTGGATTAATACCTGTATTTTTTGACTAGTCCACAATGGCTTACTAGAGTCTAAAGCTATATAATAGAGCTGATTATATAATAGAGAAGCTACCCATACCAATTTTATTTTAGGCCACAAATAAATTATTTATACTTTCATTTAATGTAAATTAGCTCAAAAGTCACCTTATATGTATTAGTATATTTCATTAGAGTATGTTCCTCTTTAAAACTACTATAGATTTTTAAGAGAATGCTGAAAAAACTATTTCCAAAAAGCATGATAAAGCTCAATGTTTAAATCTATCACAAGTCAGAAGTTTCTTATTCCTCTAGTAATTTAAAATAGGCCAGAGAGAACTGTTTAAAAATCAACCATTACCTTGTGATTACCTGAACTCTTTTCTAATAGATGTCACGAAATGTGCCCAGCCTTTGCTGGAAGGCAATTGTCCTTTTGATGGAGTGCTACTTTATGAATCACATTCTTACTCCAGTGGGTTCAGAGACATTTTCATGCTGTATATCAAATTTACTAGTATTACATGTATATAGTATTCATGTAACTCAGAAACTTCATTGCTAAAAAATTGATGCGGGGGTTAGGATAAATATTGCCTGCAATAAATTTACAAACGGTATTATTACTGTGTGAAATATATGAACTACCTTTATTTCAACCTTCTATTTCTCTCCATATCATTCATTTGGTCACATAGCAGATTATCTATTTAAAATGGTTTCATTTGAATTTAAGAAAAAGGCAACACTCAGTGTACTTCATACTTACACAATGTTAAGTCTATCGAGCATTTACAATAGCACCGAGGGCACCTTCCAAATACATAGCACCAAGAGTATCAGACATTCTTTTTGCCTTGTGGTTTGAAATTAGGAAAGTTAATTCATTAAGTGTTTTAAAATGTGATATTTGTGTGCATGTGAATCACTACAGAGCAATAATAATGATTAATCTTCTTAGTCCTTAATTTTTTATAAAGATTACTAAAATGCAGAAAGCAGGTGTTTAAAAAAAACAATCAAAATAAGATTGATCTTCCATTAAACCTTAAGGATAAGTTTTTTGTTTTTAATCTTTGTTTTACTTTGTTTTTATAGAAGACTGTTAATCCAAGCTCTCAGAAGAATTAAACACAAATGATCTGGAGTAGTTTAATTATGGAAACATGTTTCCGAAGTTAAATTATGAGAAAAAGTTTCTTAGATGCAGAATATAGTAAACTGTCACCTACCCAAAATATAGTTTTAAACTAGTCACCATAAGATATTAACAGTGATCTTGTAGCAATTTACATTTACATTTTGAAAACTTTTTTTATACACCTGAAGTTGTTAAGAACTAAAATAAGGTCTGTCCACCAGAACTTTATGCTTTTTGTAAGGTAGGGTAGGGTACAGATCTTTCAACATTATTTACCAAGTAACAAAACAGGCAAGTGCAGACACTTTTCATGGCCTGTCTAGATGGTCGTTTTTCCTCAAACAAGAAATCAAATATAAGGATGGAGGGAGGAAATAAACAAATGAAGCATCTGTTACTTACAAGTACATAGATCTGGACTTGTTTTAGAATGTGTGGAAGGAACTAGAAAAGAGACAGATAAGGTCTGGGATTCCTAAATGTCAGTGTTTGGTGTGAGTGAGACAGAATAAGAAGTTATTTCTTGAGAAGTGAAAGAGAAAATAAAAATGGAAAGAAAAAAAAGAAAGAAAGAAAAAGGGAATTTAAAAAGTTCATCCAGGAAAAGAGAGAGAAAAAGACGAGAAAACATCATCAGTAAAATAAACACTAAGGCAAAAGGCAGCTGAATAGTTGAGCATCCCTTCTGGGTGTTGTAACCTGAATTTCGTGCTTAATAATGATTGAAATAGTGCACCCTATGCGGTGCCAAGCAGTCTATCCACTGAAATTACCATGAAAATAATCTAGAGGGTTTGGAAGAAAATATGGACAAACAAGTTTATCTCTCAAATGGGTTCTTCCACTGTGCTTTTTTTTACATGCATCAACTTATTTAACAACTTTGTGAAAAATAATTATTTTGGATTTATAGATAACAAAACTAAAACTCAGATGGTTTAAATAATTTGCCCAAAGGAACTTTATATTAATGACTTATGTCTAACTCTAAAGTTTTTTCAACTACACTATTTGCCCATCATCCAGTCTTTGGTTGGGAACACCAGCTATCAACCACTTACATCTTGTTGTTAAGGAAATTGTGTGTGTGTGTGTGTGTGTGTGTGTGTGTGTGTATTCAAAATTCAAAATATATATTTTCAAAATTTAAAAATATTACAGAATTAATATATGTATCTTAACTAGACAAAATATTTCACATAATACAATAAAATCTCAGATCCTAAGGCCCTAGGTGGATTGTCTGCTTCGAAAGGTAGATATTCATAGCATATAACCACAAACAGATTTTCATATGCTAATCAGAAGCCTGCAAAAGTGTTTGTTGCTGATTGCAGGATTCAAGGAGAAAGGCTGTAGGATGATGTAGGACTCATGGACTAGTGATCAGGCATCACTAGTGAAGCATAGCATGTCACATAGAATAAAAATGACCGCATCCTTCTGTGATCCAGAGAGGCAAGTAGAGAGGATTGGCGAGGCTGCTTATGGCCTCTGCATGGATAGCTGAGATCCTTTTCTAATGACATTCTTGGGAGAAGGCTAGGATGACCACCACCAGGAGTAAAATGCAATACTCCTGTAGCACACTGCTCCTCAACCCCACCATTTCAGAAAGAATCTTGAGAGACAACTGCTAGATGAGGGGACCTCACTACAGTCTCTCTCAAAAGTGTAAAGCAAGAGTAGACTCTTACTCATACAAAGGCTAATACTTCACTCTGGGTGAAAGGAAACAGAAAATTGGAGCTCAGTAGACAACAGTCACAGGAAGGAGAAGGCAGCTTGCCCAGTCCTTGAGACAATAGCAAACCCACGATATGCTCCAAACCCAGAGACCGGGTTCTTAAGAATTATAGATGAAATTTTATTGCAATGCAAAAAATGAATTTTGAAATGTCAGAGTGCAGATTGATTTTCCGAAATATATTGAAGGCAACCTCAAAGCCTGTCTTTAGTGTTAAATTGCTTCATTCACTCCTATGTATATATAAAATATGTAGTTTAGAAATAACGAATTTGGTGGTCACATTTCTAACGTAAATTGAGTGGCACCTCTCCCAAGCCAATTATAATATTTTGAATGTCTATCATTAGAAGACAATTTTTTATAAAAATATTTTCTTAATATCACTACCAAAGTATGTTTGCAGTGGCAAATCCATACAGGTCTGCAGCAACTTGATTCCTGCCTCCTCAAAGGAAAGAATTTGTCCAAGGGGCATAAGGCAGAGTGAGAGACCAAGGCAAGCTTTAGTGAGCAAGAGTGGGCTGTCAGGCTGTCTGCAAGTTCAGTGGCCTCCAGCACTTGGGAGGGGCTGCATGTGTACTGTGTTTACCGAAGTGAGTGTTCCTAGTGGAAGGGCATATACCAGTTAAACTCGCCATTTTGCCTTGTAATGCACATGCTTTAGCCCACTCGCCCAACTCCTGATATGTTATCCTGAAATGTAAGTATTCTCATGAGGCAGCGCCTATTAAAAGTTAATGTAGAGATGTTTTTGACAATTTATCCTGACAGAAGACCAAAGAATATTTCTTAAGATTATCTAAGAATAGGCATAAGTAAAGTCTGAAAGCTTTGTCTGTGCTGTGGAGAGGAAGGCTGGCAGCAATTATGTCATCAGAATATACATAAACACTGAAAACAAACTGCCAGAGAATTCTGAAGCCTGGCTTTTAAGGTCCTATTCATAGGGAATGTGGAGGCTGGAAAATGGTCTTAACTAACCAAGATTTGATTTATAGCTATGACAAATAGACTTACATGATCCAGCCAGATACGAAGATAATAGAAAACTCAAGGATAAAAGTAAATGCACATTTTAAGGGAGAAAAAAGATCTTGGTGTTTAAAGGGTACGACTGAAAAGACTTCATGTTTTCCAGAGTTTTCAGTGTTTTCATAAACCCTGAAAACAAACTGCCAGAGAATTCTGAAGGCTGGATTTGTTGGTTTGGATTCACAACGGAAACCCCAACTTCTTCAAAGGTGCCTGTGCAGTAGATGGTTGTTTTTTTTTTTTTTTCTCAAATTTTATCTTTTTTTTTTTTTTTTTTTCTTGAGACAGAGTCTCGCTCTGTCGCCCAGGCTGGAGTGCAGTGGCGCGATCTCGGCTCACTGCAAGCTCCGCCTCCCGGGTTCACGCCATTCTCCTGCCTCAGCCTCCTGAGTAGCTGGGACTACAGGTGCCCGCCACCACGCCCGGCTAACTTTTTTTTTTTTTGTATTTTTAGTAGAGACGGGGTTTCACCGTGTTAGCCAGGATGGTCTCCATCTCCTGACCTCGAGATCCACCCGCCTCTGCCTCCTAAAGTGCTGGGATTATAGGCATGAGCCACTGCGCCCGCCCACCAATTTTATCTTTTAATCTAAACTGAGTGACTTCCAGCTGCCATGGGTATTGATAGGTAAGTCAATAGAAGAGCAAATATGACATGTACAGAAAGAAGTCTTAGTCATCCCCAAGTTTTTCATATTTCAGAGAACGTTGGCAATATTTCGTTTGTTCTTGAATTGGTTTTCTTATGCTGTTTTGAAATTTTACAAAGAATGAGTCACATTGATTACTCCTCTTTTCTTAGAATATATTGAGTTCACTGAACATAAATTAGAAACTCATAACTCACATAACATCTTGAAGCATTAATGGTCCTGAAGGTCAGTAGGGGAGAAGAAAAGATGAATGGCTGGGCAATGAGTGTAGGAAGCAAATAATTTAGTGTTTATGCCATATCCTTAAGTTAGCCTAAGGACAAGGTGCAGGGTCTTCAAGATCTCTTCCTCCCCAAATAAGAGGGTAGAATATATGTGATAAAAAAGATATGCTCCCAGGTTAAGCAATATGAACATTACTGAAAATCATTTCCTGACAACAAACATATTATAGATGATGATTTTATAGTAAAATCTCATTATATTTTCTATTATGATTTTATGCTAGTTCTAAACAAATTTAGACTATTTAAACCAAAGAAAAAATGCCTATGCCAAAATAATTGCATTCAGATACCAAAAAATCCCCAGTGTTGTCAATATTTGTTAAAATTCTGTTCAGTTAATATTGATAAATAAATGTAAAACGACGTTTACTTTGGCCTTAGTAAAGATACTCAAACATCTTTTAAGAGACTACTCATGTCTCTGTGAATGCAGACAGATAAAGGGCTACCAAAGACGAAAACCACCTAATTCACCACAGCTCATTTCCACAGAAAATAACAGAACTTGGAGATTCTGGGCACAGAGCAAATACCAATTAACAAAATCATGTAAGAGACAGAGACCAAACATTTTAGGGCAGAGATAATTTGGCTATGGTATTATTGCCTAGATTTGAGTGTATGCTCTTATGACATAATGAGTATAATAATAATTTTAAAAAATATTTGTTTTCCTGATTCTAAATGCATCAACATTCATTTAAATAGTTGGAAGCTGTCTAATGGTTCAGAAAAAATATTTATTTAGCCAGTTTTATGTTCAAATCATCATTCATAATCAGGCTGTAGCCCCAAATTTTCCACAGAATAAATAACTATTTATACAAAAATCAGAAAAACCTAAATATGACTTCATTTTATTATATGGAAAGAAAGCTTATAATAATTCTTTTACATGAAGAGTTGCATTGAGATAAATTGAAGTATTAGAAGATCCATGCTAAGAAACTACATTGGGCATCCCTTCGGTAAATCACTCAGCAAAGTTTGGCAACATCTCTTATGTGAAATTTGTGATGGTATTTGTTAAAAATGTTTATAATTATTTATAGTCTCCAGGAGCTGTATTTCAATGGTTAATTAGCAAAGGATAAACAATTTTTAAACCTAAAAATAACAATGCAGATAGGGCCATTATTTTGCTATTGAATCTGTATGGGAACAGATCATAGAATACCAGATATGCAAATATGTCAGAGGTAGGTTTCTAATCTCCCTTTAAAGATGGCGTAGTCAGATTGAACCACGACTTCACAATCCACACGTTTCACTTCACAAGTTTTGTAAATGTCAAATATTTCCAGCACTTATATTATTTTCACTTATGTTTTCCTAACTCCAGATAGCAAGAATTTGTTCTCACAAGATAGCAAGAATTTGTAGTTGAGAAAGTGCTGTGTCTGGAGGTTAAATAATATCATATTATTTTTAAAAATATGCACCTTTCTTGATTTAATTTTATTTTATTATTTGTAGTGTTGCATTTTATTCACAAGAGCTGACCAATAGTTATGTGTAGGCACCTCTATGACTACTTTCAATGATCCTTGCCTCATTGAAATCCTTTCTTTTTGAATATGGGCTGGATTTGTTAACTCACTTCTAATGAATGGAATGTGCCAGAAGTATGGGATGTTCCTAATGAGATTAGCTACACAAAGACTATACTTCTTAGTGCCTTTTCTCTTTCTCACAGACACTTTCTTCAGGGGAAGCCAACTGCCATATTCTGAGCTGACCTATAGACAAGCCCTTGTGGCAAGGACTGTAAAAGGCTTTTGTCCAATAGCCAGAGAGAAAAGGAGGCCCTCAGTCTAACAGTTCACAAGAACTCAATACTAAAAAATCATATAAGTAAGTCCTAGAGGTGGATCCTGTCCTAGCCAAGTGTTCAGGAGAGACTGTAGCCCTGGCTGCAAGTTTAACCACAACCCTGTATGAGAACTTGAGACATAGATATTCAGTCAGCTAAGGTTTGTCCACATTCCTGATACACAGAAACTATGATATTATACATGTCTTTTACTTTAAGCTGCAAAATTTTAGGGTAATATGTCATGCAGAAAGAGATAACTGATACAAATTACTTGCATGATGCTAGTTTTCGTCTTTCCCAGCGATGACACATAAACTTGCATACCTCCTGAGACCTGACATCACCCTCATAGCCCGAGTTCTCAAAAACTTTAAAATATATTTAACATATATGAACACAGATTTTAAAAAAACAGAAGAAATATCAAACTAATAGTTTATAATTTTAATAAGAATCAAAATTCCTGATAGAAATGGACTTGTCAGTATTTTGGCAATAAAGTGTTTCCATATAAACAATGAAAGCTGAAAATCACATTGAATTCCAATTTTCAATCTCAAAAAAAGACACTTTACTTTTTGATTCCTTCAATTTCAAAATTTAAATAATAAATACTTACAGCAAATCCCAGAGACTAATAATACATTCTGTCTTAAAAGGAGAAAAACAAAACAAAACAAAAATACCTATTTCAAAACAAGGAATTAAAATAAAATGTATTAACTAAAATATTTGTTGTATTATCTTGAATGAAACCTTGTAAATGCTGGTAAGTTAAAGCATTCTCTGTGTCCACTTTAGCCATCTGGTTTTATACGCTTTAAGAAGTAATTATACTGGTTCTGAAAAATAAGAGACTAGGAAAGTTAAATAACCAATAAAGAGAAGTGATTAAAAAAGGAAAAATAATAAAAAAAAAACTACATGATTACTTTTGACTGGCTTTTAAGGTCCTATTCATAGGGAATGTGGAGGCTGGAAAATGGTCTTAACTAATCAAGATTTGATTTATAGCTATGACAAATAGACTTACATGACCCAGCCAGATACGAAGATAACAGAAAACTCAAGGGTAAAAGCAAATGCACGTTTTAAGGGAGAAAGAAGATCTTGGTGTTTAAAGGGTATGACTGAAAAGACTTCATGTTATCCAGAGCCTAGGAGCAAACAAATACTTAGCTAATGCTGCTAAAGAGAATAGCCTACAGGGAGGAAAAAAAAAAAAGGCGGGGGGAGCAGGAGAATGACTGTTCACTCAGATATCTGGGATGTATGACCAATTCAATTCATTGCTTATTTTCAGTCTGATGGCCATGAATCCTAGTCCACAAGCTAGGGGATAAAAGAAATTTTAAGTTATAATTTTTTATTTAATCTAATAAAACTTCACTTTGAACTGCAGTTTTGTATGCTTGCTGGAAAACTTAATATTACTCATTATTCAATCTCCTTTGCCCCCCCTGAGGCCTGTGTAATAATTCAGAAGGTACTGCTTCAGTGAGGCAATTAAAGCACAAAATTTTTGATGGATTACATTATCCCTAAAGCTTAATGTCCAGTATTCCTGGATGCATTATGTAACCATTCCCCCTCTGAGAACTTACTGCCCTTTGAGGATGCAAATACCCAGCAGGGCATGAGTCAATTATAGCAGCAAAACCATCTGATCTCAATAATCTTTCAAGAAAAAACATTTAAGGCAGAAAACCATCCTCTCAGCTGCTATTCTAAAAGGTGTTCCAAAAAAACTCATTTTTTTGTGACTAATGTCCCACAAAATGAGAATTTAAGAAGAAAAATGTAGGAAGGTAGTTTGTACAAAAGCTTTAAACCTTGAAACATTAACACTTGTGAGGTATGAGAGCATCAGCGTCCTGGCTGCTTATTAAAAGGAGGTGTAGAAAGAGGAAAAAAAAAATAACACAGAGAAGAAAACATAAATTACCATCAAAGTAAACATTTATACTGCATTTTTAAAAGACTGTAATAGGCGTGATGAGTACTAGAAAGATGAAATAGACACAATCTTTGGCATGAATAAACTTAAAATATAGATAGAAAGGTAGAATATTAACACAATTTATAATATTTAAAAATTACATCTTGAAAAACCTTATAAAATAGTAGTACGAGCAATTAGAACAGGAATCTTTTAGGGCCTTAAAGAATAGATGGAATTTTTACAAATAAGATAGCTAGGGGAGTAGTTACATTAAGTAACTTAGAAAGAAGAAAAGGAGGCAGAGAGTAAGAGTAGCCAAAATTTGTCTAAAAATGTGTGTAAGATAGATATTTACTCAGTAAGAGAACTGGTCCACTTATTTACATTTGTCTTGGCATGGGTGTCCTAGGAAATATAATATGAGAAAAATATCGTGTGTTAATATTTGATGAAGAGGTACAAACCCAAGAATACAGTATTGATTTTAAAAGGTAATGAGACTGAGAAAGGAGAAAAATTTTGGAAGTGCATATTGAATTAGCTACCATTTTTTATCTTGTATAATTTATTACTTGGCTTCTCAGAAATCTTATCTGGGAAACTATATTAATTTCTGGAAATTCCTCCACATGAAAAAAGAAGAAATAATTTATCTTTTGCTTCCAGTATTACATTGATCAAAGACTTTTCCCTATAAGATATTAACCTGCACTTTTGGTTGCACACACATGAGCACAATGCAAATTTGATGGCATCTTAGGACTCTGTGCAGAAGACAAAACCTAGCATTGCAGCTGAATGGTATAGAGCATGGGCAAGAGACAAAATGTGATGGTTGTGCACACAGGAGGCCATTCTCTATGGCAGCAAGGATGACACAATATGCTGTGTCCCAGTGCAAGAGAACTTGAAGTGGTATCTAAGAGTAAGTGATGTAGTCTACACTGACAAGACCAAATTATTCTTATTCTCTTCCAATATCCAGTTCTACAACATGGGGCTCTGCTTTTGTGAAAACCCAGTGTACACTACTTTTCTGGGACCCTAAATGCAAATACATTTAATCTCAGAGTCTCTTCCCATAAGTTATAGTTCCCACTGCTGTAGCCAATTTTATTAGTTTGTTCTCATACAGCTAATAATAAAGTCATACACTAGACTGGGTAATTTATAAAGGAATGAGGTTTAATTGACTCACAGTTCAGCATGGCTGGGGAGGCCTTATGAAACTTACAATTATGGCAGAAGGGGAAGCAAACACGTCCTTCTTCACATGGCAGCAGGAGGGAGAAAAATGAGAGCTGAGCTAGAGGGGAAGCCCCTTATAAAACCATCAGCTTTCGTGAGAACTTACTTACTAACATGAGAGTAAGTATCAATTATCTCCCACTGGGTCCCTCCCACCACATGTGTGATTATGGGAACTATAATGCAGGATGAGATTTGGGTTGTGACACAGCCAAACCATATTATTCTGCCCCTGACCCCTCCCAAATTTCATGTCCTTACATTTTAAAACACAATTATGCCTTTCCAACAGTCCCCCAAAGTTTCAACTCATTCCAGCATTAACTCAAATGTCCAAGATACAATGAGGGTACAGGCATTGGGCAAATACACCCACTCCAAGTGAGAGAAATTGCCCAAAAACAAAGGGTCTAGAGTACCCATGCAAGTCTGAAATCCAATAGGGCAGATATTAAACCTTAAAGTTCCAAAATGGTTTCCTTTGGATGGAACTCATCCAAATGGAACTCACATCCATGTTCCATAATAGGTATTCCATCATTTTTCTCCTTGACCATCTGTTCTAGAACTCCTTTACCCTCATTCAGCACTTCAGTTGGTCCAGCTTGCTTGCCTGGTAGGGGCAAACCAGGACTTTATCCCTTAATTGTTTTGGTTAGTTTAAATTCGGTGCAATTGCCCATTCACAGTTATTACTAGTATTAAAAAACAAGATTTGGGGTTGGACACGGTGGCTCACACCTGTAATCCCAGCACTTTGGGAGGCCAAGGCAGGTGGATCATGAGGTCAAGAGATAGAGACCATCCTGACCAACATGGTGAAACCCCATCTCTACTAAAAATACAAAAATTAGCCGAGCGTGGTGGCGGGTGCCTGTAGTCCCAGCTACTCGGGAGGCTGAGGCAGGAGAATTGCTTGAACCTGGGAGGCAGAGGTTGCAGTGAGCAGAGGTCCCACCACTGCACTCCAGCCTGGGCAACAGAGTGAGACTCCATCTCAACAACAACAACAACAACAAAAACAACAAAACAAGATTTGTCACAGTGAATGTCACAGGTTTTAGGCATACTCCTCCCTAACTCATTCATATCAGCATCCCCAGCTTCTGATGGTAATCAGTGTCAATTGTCACTGATAGTATACTAACTCCTTTCCATGCCTGTTGATCCACAGGAATAACAAGTCAAAGTGGCTAAATGACAGTCACAGATTCCTGTTCATTGTAACACTTCTTGTTTTCCTTGACAGTGTGAACCCTCCAGCCCCAAACTCAAGAAGAAAAATCTCTAAGAAGACCTAATATTGGATCTCTAAGGAGACCTAATATCGGTGGGGCATGCCTGTAATCCCAGTTACTTGGGAGGCTGAGGCAGAAGCATGGCTTGAACCCAGGAGGCAGAGGTTGCAGTGAGCCAAGATTGTGCCACTGCACTCCAGCCTGGTGACAGCTCTCTCTCTTTCTCTCTCTCTCCATATATGTGTGTGTGTGTGTGTGTGTGTGTGTGTGTGTGTGTGTGTATATATATACACACACACATATACACACATATATATATAAATATGTATAGAACAAGAAGCATACAATTGGCAAGTAGGCTACTGAGAGTGAGTGACAGGGGCTGACCCTTTGTTTCCAGACATGGATATTCCAGATATTAGAGACAAAGTAACCTATATTAGCATCTGACCAAAGCATATATGCCTCCTAGGGGATAATGGCTCAATCCCACATAAATTGATCCCAAAGCTGGAAACTTAGGCCTTTCATAGGCCATCCCACCATTCTATCTGTGTAGCACTGTCTGTGTGACAGTGTATATGTTATTAGCAAGATGCTCTTTGTGTCGAGATGATCAAGTTTGACAGTGACCTGGAGGAACACTGATATAGCTTAGGCAAGAAAGTAATAAAGCATAGCTATTCTTCCCTCATAAAAGCAAATTGATTTTGATCCTATTTACTAATGGGGTTTGAAAAAAAATGCATTATCTAGATGAAAAGCTGCATAACATTCTCCAGAGACTGTATGGATCTGTTCCAATAAAGATGCCACATTGGCAAAACAAATGGAATTGATCCTGCCACTTGGTCAAATTTAAGATAATGCAGAATAATCTACTATACTCCATCTTTTCCCCTCAGGAATCACAAACATAAGATAAAAGCAGATACAGTGGGACAATAAACCCTATCTCCTTTATGTATCTGAGGGTGTTGATCATCTCTAATATTTTACCAAGGATATATAGCACGACTTCTGATTTACAGTTGTAGCTGACAGAGCAACAGGAGTAATTCTCAAGAACTGCCACTTGTTCTTTGCTACCAAAAAAGTTCTTACACTACAAATTAGGGAAACTTGTAAGTGTACTGCCAGCTGTTTGGTGTAACCATCCTAATTTTGTTGTCAAGTACGAGGAATAACCTAAGAGTTTATCTATGACCTTTACGCTATTCTATGACTGTGAGATCAACTTGAATCAAGATTTCATTGATCACTGGTTCTTTATGGAATTACTCTAACTGAAGGATCATGATGACATGTTAGATTATAAGTGTCAGATCACACCCTGTACACAACAATCCTCATAACTTTTATGTTGGCAAATGACTGCAGGTATTTTTAGGAAAAGGATTTGAGGAATGCTCATTTTATATTCTTTCAGTGACACTGCAGAATCTATGCTCAAGCGACACAACATTCCCTTTAACTGGTGAGCTCAAGGTCTAAAACTAGCTAAGATTAGAATATCAGTAGAAAACCATGGCTTTTCGTGTTTGCAGTTGATTCTGTTTGCATTCTATTAATTTTTTTAATTATACAAAGAATCAATAGGATAATCAAATAAAAGGAATACCATTACAATTTCAATAAAAAAGAAATCACAATAGAATTTGAAGATTCACACTATACCAGATAAAAGTGATTTATGTAAAACATTATCTTACCAAAGGAATCATCAAACATCTGATGAAAATTCTCGTGAGTTTTATGTGGAATATATCTTGGATAACTTTGAAATTTAAGGGAAGAAAATAATTACCTGGGGATAGTATTTCAATTTTTTTCTAATAGTTGAAGCAGTTTGCCCTTGGGCAAAATGGATGACAAAGGAATTGAACAACTACATAGTATATTGATATCCAAGAGAAGAATTTTATTGCTTCTTTAGCAAAAATATCTCACCTCATAAGAAAACCAAATCAAACCAAACCACACATATAATTTATTAAAATCATCAACTAAATCAAATTTGTATTTGAACAGGAGAGAGGCCAATGCTCTATTACAAGTGAAACAGATAATTGGGAAGGTAAGTAAGCAAGCATATATAAGACAATATTTCTCAGAAGTGATATCATGGGGATGTTGACACAGAAGAGCAATCGTGTTTCTTTTGTTTGTTGCTGATTTGCCTAGGATGATTTGTATAATACTGCTCCTAATTAAAAACACAAAGTGTTCTGGAAATTCTGACATAGAGACATGATTATGATTTAATAGGTATCATTGCAATGTTATGAATTGACAGTAATGATTAAAAGAAAGACATTTTTCAAAATAATATATATAGTTGAGAAGTGGTAATTTGGCAACAGTGCGTGACAGTGAAAGAATGCCTACGTGATAATGCATGAACTTTGGTAGGAAAGAAGTGGCTGAAGGTATTCTGGTCAGAAATAAAGATGGGGTAAACATAAATAATGTTGGTATGTGCCACATATTTTCTTGCTGAAAGAAATCGTACTTTCCAATCTAATGAAAAATAACATAAAATAAAGTATTTTCTCATATTAAAATGTCATTTATTTTAGAAATAATTTGTGAAATATTTATAAAGTCCTACTATGTACCAGGAGTTTCTCCTATAGTGTCGATTAGAGTGCAATGTTTGCTCTTTGGTTTCTTATTGTAAGGGAGGGAAGAAGACCTTTAAACCTGTAAGTACTAAAGTATTATGCTAAGATATTACAGAAATACAGAAGAGAGACTTTGTAGAAGTGCTGGGTTCAGTTATGTATGTCAGCTACTCAGAGATACCTTAGCAAATTAGGGTTAAAATATCCACTGAGAAAACTACAGTTAGGAAAACAATGGTATAGAATAAATGGTTGGAGGGAGTGGGCTTTCTTATGATGAAAGAGAAAAATGATAGTTTCACTGACAAAGTTCGTATGGAGAAACTTTTAGTAAAAGGGTTATTAATCCAAGTTCTTTAGAGAATGTAAAACAGTAGTTAGATATCATTCATTTAGAAACAAATGCCAGACATTTTGAAAAATCTAAAATACCAATTACAATAAAGTGCATACTTATTGTATAACTCATTATCATAAAGTGAGTTTTAAGTAGGCTTCCAAAAAGATAAAAAAAACTTCATGTTAAGTATTCAAGATTACTTTTAGTAATTATCTCTCATTAGTTTGTAAACTTAAGACTATAGTTTTTTTAAGGTTTATTTCTAAAATATTTTCTCAGAAACTGTTAACATTAACTCAGTCTATAAGAACTATTCATTCCTCTTAGTTTTTTAAAAATATTATTTGAATACATTCCTTTGTGCAAAAGTTTTATTCAAGTATAAACATAAAACATGACTTTAACATATTAAATTTCAAAAGAAAATTCAACAGAATTTTAACTTTACACATACTTATTTTTAAAAAATAGAATATAGAGATAAACAATACATACCTCATATATGCATAAAGTGAATATATTTATAAATAATACATATGTACATTGTTTGTATGAATCTGTTGTTACGGTAAAATAAGTTTGTATAAATCATAGTTTTATCATCTGTTTTTATACTTAATAATTTATTATAAAATATTTCTATTTCTATGAATATAAAACCAGGTTATTGTGGATGCTAAGACCATGAATTACAAAGATGGATGACTTTGAAATTTAACACAGGAAAACAATTATTTGAATAGAGTATTTCAATTTTTTTTCTAATAGCTCAAGTATTTTGCCTTCGGACAAAGATAGACAACACAGGAATTAAACAACTAGATAATCAATTAAGGAGAATTTCGTTGTTGCATCCTGGCTCACCTATTCACAAGTTATTACCACAGTATGCATTACTTAGCCCTTATTCACCTATGGTTACATGATTCTATATTTTAAAAATAATTTATCCATTTTTAATATATAAATATATGTAGCCTGGTTTCCACATTTGCTATTATAAGCTATTAATTTTTCAATAAGCAACTTTGCACATATGTTTATGTGCACATTGGTGAGGATAATTCTCTTAAATATTTTTGAGGCGAAGATTTATAGCTAAAATTGTATATACGATACAGATAAATAGGTGTTCATCAGCAATAATAGGAATCCTGACTATACTAATTTTAGATATGGTTTACTATTTTCAGATAAGAAGGAGGTTCCATACCTCAGCATGCTGGAACTGAAATCTCTGATTATTAACTTTCCATGATGAAAACATGCAAGCTCTTCCAACTTCTGCTTTTATGCTTGTGTTTAAGAGAAGAATAAACAGGAAAGCCAGGGTTAAATGAAACAGGCGACGCAACGATATTCCTAGGAACGTTCTAAAATAATTTTTCTTACTTCTCACTGGCTAAGTAAAACCAGGTCTTTTGGCAGTAGTTACATGCAAAACAGTGTAGGATGGGAGGAGCAAGGCAGTTGTGAGACAGAAGAGAAGAGACAGTCTATGTTGAACTCACAGTGTCTGCCAATGCTTATTTGTTACTTCCTAAGCAAATATCAATAGAAGCTACTTATATATCTTTGAACCATTGTACTATTCCAAATCAATATCTTCTTTAAAAAAAACTGAATTTGGGGACTATTTTTTAGCTCAGCTTAGCTAAGTTGATATATTCCAGCTGTGATAGCTTTTTAACATGGCATCTCGCCTAGGCTGAACTACAGTCCCCAGAATGTTCTTTCTAGTATGATTCCTGTTAGGATAGGCTATAAGAAAACCTTCTCTTTTTTTTAAGATGGAGTCTCACTCTGTGGCCCAGGCTGGAGTGCAGTGGCACCATCTCGGCTCACTGCAAGCTCCGCCTCCTGGGTTCTCGCCAATTCTCCTGACTCAGCTTCCCGAGTAGCTGGGACTACAGGCGCCGGCCACCAAGCCCGGCTAATTTTTTGTACTTTTAGTAGACATGGGGTTTCACCGTGTTAGCCAAGATGGTCTCGATCTCCTGACCTTGTTGATCCGCCTGCCTCGGCCTCCCAAAGTGCTGGGATTACAGGCATGAGCCACCGCGCCTGTCCTATAAGAGACATTCTTTAAGGAGAGATGAAGGACAAGAAAGAGTAGTGGCCATTTTGTAGCACACACACTCCTTCTCCCAATTATTCATCAAACACAAATCTAGGTGCTGTTGTGAAGCAATTTTACAGATGTTCGTATAGTCCCTAATTAGTGATTTCAAGTTAGTCAAAAGGAGGACTATGCTGGAGGCAGGGGGAGGAGGGAACTGACATAAGCAGTTGGAAGTTCAATTCAAAAGGTCTTAGGCCTTGCCTGAGGGAAAGACTCTGAATAGCCCCTGGCATTGTAATTGCCCCAACCCCTGGGCCCCAGCCCTGAATCTTCTCTTCTGACTGTTGCCCATGGTCAACTTTCAGAACATGTGGGGGTCTAGCCTGCTCAACTTCCCTCCCTGACTGCCTAAGCTGAAGACCAGAATTGCTTAGTCAACCCTACAGTTATATAAGGCCATTATTTGCTATATGTTGCATATATCCCTAATGTTGCTGTGATTCTACTTCTCAGATGGGATCCTGATTGAAGCACTACACCAAATAATTTTTAAGCCATCAGAGAGTGCATATAACATGGTAAAGAAGAAAGAGGTGAAGGAGGAGCAGGGGAAAGTGGGGTGAGGAAGAGGAGAATGAAAGGTAGAGCACTGTGCCATTTTTATTATTTTTATTCAGCCAGAGCGGCAATTATTTTTATTTTTTCAAAATAACAAACATAGAGCCAACTTTTAAAAATAAGTAGGAGAAAATAATTCTGTAGCTAACAAATTACTGGCAAAAGGTCAGTAATTTGATTGCTGTATAAAAAGGAAGCAAACTGCCAAATCTTCAAATATCATTATTTAAGACTGGATTTGTGTACATTATAAACAGAAAGTGTCTTGGATTTGCTTTCCCTAAGGAAAAGTAAGCAGAATTTTTTCTGAGAATGTACTGTGAATTATAATATAATAAAATGACTACAAAGAAAATTAAGTATAGGACACATAGAAAATAAGAAATTGGAGAATTCTAGATTGGATAAGTACACAGATCAAGATGAGGATCCTCAACAAGTTGTTTGCATAGAAAGAATTAAAACATTATTCACGACTCCTAGTGAGTATCGTATGCAAACAATAAAATAATTACCTATATCATAAATTATATGTAATTTCCATTCCATAGGATATTATCAGTCATGGTGGAGTAATCTCCTTTTTAATAATAAATTTCTCAATCAAAATCCCCCAAAACAAATTATTCTAAGCCAATATATGAACAAGGAAAAGTTTATCTGATTCTTGTACTCGGAGGAAGCAAGCTAGGAAAATATTAACTTTTTATGAACATTTCTTAAAGGAATGATTTACTTCTGGGAGTGAAACACGTTAAATTTATGTGTACAGAGCATAATATGAGAAATTGTGAAGCAGCACTATATAAATATGGAAGTTATATTTATATTGTTTTAGGGTATGTGTGAATGGTACCAGGAAATAGTAGAATAATTATTTTTTAAAATCTAGATTTTTAAAGTAGATAGATAAGATCTAAATTTCAGCTACCATTTGCTACGGATGTAATCTTGGACAAATTGATTCAACTCTAATTATTCATGGCCTTATCTGAAAAACATAAGGATAAAAATATTACTTCAAAATTTATAGGGCTTTTTTACAGTGCCAAGATCATAGTAATAAACCTAATGTTAAGTCCATGTGATTATTTTTTTTTTTGCTAGCTTATATTCAACTTCCCTTTATATGTATGCATTTTCTTTTAGTCACATTGCCATCTACAGTTATGAATATTAGCTTAATGTGTGTGTGTGTGTGTGTGTGTGTGTGTGTACTACATTGAAAAAAAATGCAGTGCCAAACAGTACATAACATATTCCAAAAGGAAACACTGTGAAGTCTGGGAGTAGTTTATAGTGCTACAAAGACCAATGATTCTTTGGAAGTCTGGGAAAAACCTGGAGACACATGACCAGATAATCATGTCAGCTAACACCATTTCTGAAAATCGTGGCAGCAAGGTACCACAGCTGTGAAGAGAGAGACTGCAAAATTAATCCCCAAATCAGCTTGGCTTCAATGTCATCTTTTCTGGTAGAAATTCCCCAGCCCATTATTATTATTACTTTTTTTGTAAATATCCTCCCCACCATCTTTATCTTTCCTTTCTTTTTATTCACCCTACAAGACCCCAAGCTTTTTGAATTCTAACACTCATAGCCTCTTCTTCTGAAATTTGCTGGAGAAAAAACATAAATGTCTATTGGTTTCATTTATAAATTTATGATATAAATTGACATCAGTTATTTCACAGCAACTCTCATATATTTTTCAGTTATATTTGCTTTCATACTCCCTCAAATACTATCTGCTTACTATTTTATCCTCCATTCTACCATTCTAAAAATTTTTCTACCTATATTCCTCCTCTTTTTTCACTCATGTCTGATAACATCATTGCCTAATTCACTTTAAAAAGGGAAGCCAGCAGATGAGGCACCTTCTTACTACCGCCAAATACAAAAGCCTATGCATCCTTTATGCATTTTCCCCTACTCTCCCTTGTAATGGACAAGGTTCCACAACTCCTATCTTATATCAAAGGTTTAGTCCTCTACTTGTTCTCTAAATCTTAGTGTGCCCCAAACCATTGTGTATAAGAATCAATTTGAGAACTCTTTAAAACTATATGTTCCTGGGTTATATCACAGAAATTCTACATGTCCCTCCAGTCTCAACTTTTGCCATTCCAAGTTGCCGTATGTGCATACATGTACAAATCACACCCAAGCATACACATGCACGTACCTAATCATACATACATACACAAATATACCTATTTCCTTCCGCATACAAACAGCACACACACATAAACACTTATACTTATCTACATAACGTGTACATATCCAGTACATACTGTTTAGGCTAAATTTTGTCCCCTAAAATTGATACATTGATGTCCCAACCTCTAACACCTCAGAATTTGACTATATTTGAATATATGAGGTATATTAAAGGTATATTACCTTAAAAAGTTAACTAATGTAAAGTGGGGCCATATAGGTAGGCCCTAATGTGATATGGTTGGTGTTATTATAAGAGGAGATTTGGATACAGACACACACACAAGGAAGACCATGTGAAAACATAGGAAGAAAACAGCCATCTACAAGCCAAGGAAGATGTCCTTAGAATTAAAATCAACCCTGATAGCACTTTGACTTAGACATCTATCCTCCAGAACTCTGAGAAAATAAATATTTGTTCAGACACAGTTCCTGGTATTTGTTATTGCAACCCTAGCAAACTAACGTGCATACATACACCAACTGTCTTCCCCTAGGCATTCACACACACACACAAACACACATACACCCCTATAAACAATCCCCAGTGATACCGTTTGGATCTGTGTCCACACCCAAATCTCACGTCGAATTGTAATAATCCCCACAAGTCAGGGGTGGGACCTAGTGGAGATAATTGAATGGTGGTAGTGGTTCCCCCCATGATGTTCTCATTATAGTGAGTGAGTTCTCACAAGATCTGATGGTTTTATAAGGGGCTTCTCCCTTCACTTGACACTCATTCTCTCTCCTGTCACCCTGTGAAGAGGTGCCTTTAGCCAGGATTGTAAGTTTCCTGAGGCCTCCACAGCCATGCTGAACTGTGAATCAATTAAATATCTTTCCTTTATAAATTACTCAGTCTTGGCTATTTCTTCATAGCAGAATGAGAACAGACTAATACAGTAAATAGGTACCAGCTAGTGGGACACTGCTGTAAAGATCCTGAAAATGTGGAAGTGACTTTGGAACTGGCTAACAGGCAGAGGTTGGAACAGTTTGGAGAGCTCAGAAGAAGACATAAAATGTGAGAAAGTTTGGAACTTACTAGAGACTTTGATATGGTTTGGCTGTGTCTCCCTATCCAAATCTCATCTTGAATTGCAGTTCCCATAATCCCCATGTGTCGTGGAGGGACCCAGTAAGAGGTAATTGAATCATGGGGACAGTTACCCTCCTGCTATTTTTGTGATAGTGAGTGAGTTCCTATGAGATCTGATGGTTTTAGAAGGGGCTTTTCTCTCTGCTCGGCACTTCCCCTTCCTGCCACCATGAGAAGAAGAATGTGTTTGTTTGCCCTTCCACCATAATTGTAAGTTTCCTGAGGACTCTCCAGCTCTGCAGAACTGTGAGTCAATTAAACTTCTTTTCTTTATAAATTACCCAGTTTTGGATATCTTTATTGGCAGCATGAGAATGGACCAATACAGTAAATTGGTACCAGGTCGTGGGGCGCTGCTGTAAAGATACCTGAAAATGTGCAAGTGACTTTGGAACTGGGTAACAGGCAGAGGCTGGAACAGTTTGAAAGGCTCAGAAGAAGACAGGAAAATGTGGGAAAGTTTGGAACTTCCTAGACACTTGTTGAATGGCTTTGACCAAAATGCTGAGAGTGATATAGACAATGAAATCCAGCCTGAGATGGCCTCAGATGGAGATGAGGAACTTGTTAGGAACTGGAATAAAGGTAACTCTTGCTATGCTTTAGCAAAGAGACTGGCAGCATTTTACCCCTGCACTAGATGTCTGTGGAACTTGGAACTTGAGGGAGATGATTTAGGGCATCTGGCAGAAGAAATTTCTAAGTATAGAAGCATTCAAGAGGTGACTTGAGTGCTCTTAAAAACATTCAGTTTTATGTATTCGCAAAGATATTGTTTGTAATTGGAACTTATGTTTAAAAGGGAAGCAGAGCATAAAACTTTGGAAAATTTGCAGCCTGACAATGCAATAGAAAAGAAAAACCCATTTTCTGAGGAGAAATTCAAACAGGCTG
The DNA here is from genome assembly GCF_000001405.40 of Homo sapiens. Classification (NCBI taxonomy): domain Eukaryota; kingdom Metazoa; phylum Chordata; class Mammalia; order Primates; family Hominidae; genus Homo; species Homo sapiens. Next base: position 81,194,721 of record NC_000013.11, on the reverse strand, counting down.
AAATTTGCATAAGCAATGAGGAGCCAAATGTTAATCACCTAGACAATGGGGAAAATGTCTCCAGGGCATGTCAGAAGTCTTCATGGTAGGCTCCCTATCACAGGCTTAGAGGCCTAGTAGGAAAAAATGTTTCCTGGGCCAGGTCCAGGCCCACCCTGCTGTGTGCAATCTCAGGATTTGGTGCTCTGCATCCCAACCATGGCCAAAAGGGGATAATGTGTAGCTCAGGCCATGGCTTCAGAGGGTGCAAGCCCAAAGCCTTGGAGGCTTACACATGGTGTTGAGTCTGCAAATGCACAGAAGTCAAGTACTGAGGTTTGGGATGTCAGAAGATGTATGGAAATGCCTGGATGTCCAGGCAGAAGTTTGCTTCAGGGGGGGAACCCGCAAGTAGAACCTCTTCTAGGGCAATGCAGAAGGGAAATATGGGGTTGGAGCCCCCACAAAATATCCCTACTGGGGCACTGCCTAGTGGAGCTGTGAGAAGGGGGCTACCATCCTCCAGACACCAAAATGGTAGATCCGCTGACAGCTTGTACTGTGCACCTGGAAAAGCTACAGCCACTCAATACCAGCCAGTGAAAGCAGCTGGGAGGGGGGCTATACCCTACAAAACCACAGGGGTGGAGCTTCCCAAGGCCATGAGAGTCCACCTCTTGCATCGGCATAACCTGGATGTCAGACATGAAGTCAAAGGAGATCATTTTAGAATATTAAGATTTGGCTGTCCCACTGGATTTCAGTCTCACATGGGACCTGCAGCCCCTTCATTTTGACCAATTTCTCCCATTTGGAATGGATGTATTTCCCCAATGCCTGTAGTCCCACTGTATCTAGGAAATAACTAACTTGCCTTTGCATTTACAGACTCATAGGTGGAAGGGACTTGCCTTGTCTCAGATGAGACTTTGGACTTGGACTTTTGATGTAATGCTGGAATGAGTTAAGACTTTGGGGGACGATTGGAAGGACATGATTGATTTTGAAATGTGAGGACATGAGATTTGAGAGGGGCCAGGAGTGGAATGATATGGTTTGGCTCTGTGTCCCCACCCAAATCTCACCTTGAATTGTAATAATCTCCATGTGTCAAGGGTGGGGCCAGGTGGAGACAGTTGAATAATGGGGCAGTTTCCCCCATACTGTTCTCATGGTAGTGAATAAGTCTCATGAAATCTTATGGTTTTATAAATGGAGTTCCCCACCATACGCTCTCTTACCTGCCACCATGTGAGATGTGACTTTGCTTCTCATTCACTTTCTGCCATGATTGTGAGAACTCCCTAGCCATGTGGAACTGTGAATCAATTTAAACTCTTTTCTTTATAATATACATTACTCAGTCTTGAGTATGTCTTTATTAGCAGCATGAAAACATGCTAATACAGCCAGATACTCTAAATCATCATTCTCAAGTTCAAAGTTTCACAGATCCATAGGGCAGGACCACAATCCAACCAAGCTCTTTACTAATGCATAACAGAAGTGACTTTTGTTCCAGTTCCCAGTATGTTTTTCATCTCCACCTGAGAATTCCTCAGCCTGGACTTCACTTTTCAAATCACTGTCAGAATTTGGTCACAATCATTCAACAAGTCTCTAGGAAATTCCAAACTTTTCCTCATCTTCCTGTCTTTTTTGACCCTTCCAAATCATTCCACACTCTGCCAGTTACCCAATTCTAATGCTGTTCCTCATTTTCAGGTATCTTTCTAGCAATGCCCCACTTCTCAGTACCAATATTTTGTATTAGTCCATTCTTGCACTGCTAAAAAGAAATACCTGAGACCGGGTAATTTATAAAGAAAATAGATTTAATTGTCTCATGGTTTTGCAGACTGTACAGAAAGCATGGTAGCTTCTGCTTGTGGGGAAGCCTCTGGAAACTTACAATTATGGAAGTTGAAGGGAAAGCAGGTACATATTACATGCCAGAGTGCGAGGAAGAGATAAAGAGGGGGGAGGTGCCACACACTTTTAAACAACCAGCGCTTATGGTAACTCACTTACTGTTACAAGAGCAGTACCAAGGAGATGGTGTTAACCCATTCATGAGAACCCTCCACCATGATTCAGTCACCTCCCATGAGGCCCTACCTCCAACCCTGGGGACTGCAATTGAACTTGAAATTTGGGTGGGGACAGAGACCCAAACCATATCACCTACTTTTATTTCAGCTTATTTATTTATTTATGAACATGACAAGCTCATTCCTATGGTAGAAGCTTTGGGCATATTTGCAGTTTTGCATGGAATGCTTCTTTCACACTCTTTGCTTCTATTATTTCTTTTTACCTTTCAAGTTTTATCTTAATTGTCACTTCTGAAAAATTGTAAAAGAAACCATCTTCCTTCTATATCATTATCTATCTCTTCCCATGTGTGCTTTATCCAAAGAACACGTTACAACTTGAAAACTATCATTTACTATTTGCCTTTTAAAGTTTGTTTTGCCTAGCAGACCATGAAGGAAATAAGCTTCATGATGGTAGAATCACTGCTGTTTCATCAAAAGCTCATATTCCTTGTGTCAGGACAATGCCTGGCATAAGAGAGATACTCATATTTGTTAAATTTGTGAATATAAAACATCTCTAGAATAGTTCTCTTTTGGATTGTGAGTTTATGTGCATATGTGAGGGTGGATATGTGTGTGTATGTAGATGTTTATGTGCATGTGATGTGTGTGTAGATGTATTTCTGCTGAGGGAGAAGGTGGGAATGAAAATGGGGAATAAATAGGTTGCCTGAATAACTGCTACCTTTCTTCTGTTAATGTTTTCCAAAACCATTTTATTTCCAGATACAATTGAGGATTAATGACTCAGTTTGCTACATTCTCCAGCATTCTATATCTTCTGAAAGAAGTTGCCATTTGCATTAAGATGATGTAAGCATGAGCTAATGAATAGGATTTGTGACTATAAGGAGTCACTATAAGTGTCTACAAGGAGTTTGGGAGAGGACAGGCAGATATTATTCAGATGTTTCCACGTTATGCAACAGTAATAAAATATTAGCAACAGCAGGAAAGATAACTCAGAAGGAGAACTACTTGTGAGAATAGTTAATTAATGCAGTTTTATATATGTTACTTTCAATATTGCCTTTGGATATTCAATGAAATGGCCCAGCTGGCTGTGACAAATTTAGGTCTGGAATAGGAAGTAGTCAATGCTAGATGCACATGCATGCTATTGTAACACCTTGGTGTTCTCACTAAAGCCACAGAAGAAAACAATATTATTTATATGAGCTAGAGAAAGGAAATAGCTAAAATACCAGAGCCCAATGAAGCCCTTTGATGGCTATATTAATAATGGATCCAGGCTCACACTTACTCTAGAGTTCATTCTAGTATTTCATTTTCTGGAAAGATTATGCAATTTCTTAGCTTCTGTCATTTTCAACTATAGGGAAATCTACTTCAGTCCTTAGTTGGTTTTAGTCTTTAGTTGTTTAACAGGTATTTTTGTGATTTAGTCATTGTTTATTGACTGATATCATTGATGGTGTTGTAAACAGACCCAAAATAGAGTCAAAGGGAAATCACTCTGATTTTTATTTCTTCATGAAGAAATCCATTTAACATAGTCAGATATAGTTTTGATGGGATTGGTTTGATGGGAAAGAAAGCAACTACATTCTAATTACCAAGTACCATGGGCAGTTGATGATGACTTGGAAGTAGAGTTCAAATGGCAAGTCCTATAAATTAAAGTACCTTAATTTTTTGTCTAATAATTGATATAATGATTGTGAATAATTATTGATAACAATAAATTAGGTTGCATATATATCCAATGGGTAACTAGCCAAAAATTAGCCAAATTCAAATATGAGATATGTATTGAAATAATTACTATGTATAACTCATCCTGCTATTTAGCCTCACATAGGTACAGTTATTTAAAAATAGGGCATTATTGTATGAAGAGTTATTAAAAGATATCAATTGTTGTTTGCACTTGTAACTCAAAACCTGTAAGGACAGAGATCATAATTCAACATGCTGTGATTTAAATTATCTGTTTTTAGCAATTGATTTGTTACAAGACATCCCACTGTGTCTACAGATCATCTTGTGACCTCTGATAGTGATACCCTAAGAGTAACTGATATTTGAGAATTATGAAACAAGACTATTTGAAATATTAAACACAAAATGTTTTAAGTGTTTAACAGAACAATTACCTTTTCATATACTACACAAATTTCTTCCAAATAAACCAATTTTTTAAATTGAGTTTTTATATTTAATTTTAAAAAATATCCTTATTTGAGCCATGTCTTTTAATGTAACATCAAACACAGAATAGGAAGTCTGAAAATTTCTGATGTGTGTACAACAGGAAGTTACATTACCAAAATATTACCATAGATATTTGAGTTTTTAAAAATAGATTTTCAATTTGATAGTGTTACCCTGTGATTGAATTTATAAGTTCTCCCCTGCAAACAGACATTTCATTTTATTGCTTCTAGCTTTTTGGCAGAAACAAAAAAGTGAATAGCTAACACCTGGTTACTAGCTACCAGCCAAACTTGCAATTTCTATCTCTGTAGAAATGAAGTTTGAATCTTAGAAATCAAAGTAAATGAAAGTTTTAAAGCTTTAGTCTTGATGTGTTCAAGGGAAGAGAAATTACAAGAAAATATAAAAGAATCTGTTCAAAAATCTTTAATATTTCCATCCTAAATGTAGAATTAAAAATATTGCTAAATGATTATGACTTTACTTGTCATGATACTACTCTTTGTTAATTTAGTTTATTGACATTTGAAGATAAAATTAATTAGAAATGTCAACTGATGCATATGTTTTTCATGTTAAAAATGAAATCTTCTGAATATTCTGCAGCAGAAGAATGGTCAATAGTTCATTCTGTATTTTCATGGCACAAAATAGATTTGGAAAGGCAATTCTAGGATTTTAACTTTACAGTGACACTATGAAGTAATATAAATTTATACTTGTGCTTAATATAAAATGCCATATGCATAAAGTATGTTAAATAACGTGAGACAAGACCTAATATAATTTTTAAAATACAAATTACAATATAAATTATAATATACTAATATGGACATATATATCTTTCTTTCATAAAATTATAAAGTTTGACCATAGATTTTATTTTACAGATCCAAGCTTCAAATGAATTAATGAAGCTCTTAAGTTATACATCCTGCTCTGCACCCTTATTGAAATGTTTTGAGCAATGGCCCACCTACTACAGCCTGACCCCTTACATTTAATAAAGATTATATTTACATATAACCCAAATAAATTGTAAGCTAAATCTTATTTTCAACAGTCATAAATATGAGTCAAATAGCTTTAAATTTATGTAAATTTTGCTGCAATATTTATAGAGGCAGCAACATTATTTCCATATCATATATCAAAGAAAACAAACCTAAAAACATCTCAATATCTTATACCTACCTCTCAAAGTCTCTCAGATCACAGCACGGGTCCCTAGAATTTATCTTTTTTCTCTTATGCCTAAAAAGTTCAATCTTAAGATGACTCCCCTTTATTTCTACTCTGTATTACAAATTAGCTTTCATTACATACTAGCTATTTTAACCCTGAGAAAGTTATTGAAATTATTACTACGTAAGTTTCCTTATTTATAAAATAGGGACGATAATATCTACCTTATAGAGTCGTTGTGAGAATTCCATGAGTTACCTTGCAATACACTTAGAATAAAAAAGTCGTATATAATATGTGCTAAAATATTAGTAATTATAAACATTCCACTCATGTATCACTATTTCAAAAAATAATTGTTTATCAAGCATCAGTTATATGAACTGCACTTTGCTCAGTGCTCAAGATTACCAGTGAACACTAACAAGGAAAATTATATATCCTAATGTAGTTTAAAATGTAATGCAAGAGAAAGGCAAATAGGAATTTTGGTTAGCAAAATATAGAGTAAATTATATTGCTCTAGGTGTTAGAAAATTAAATATGGGAATGGAGTAGTAACAGAGAAGTGAAGATTGCAGTTTTTAGATAGTGTGGCTGGAGAAGGCTTGACGCATAAGGTAGTATTACATTAATGACCTGTAGGAAATAAACAATTTAGTGACTGATGTATCTGAGGAGAATAATTTCAGGTGAAGGCAGCAGTAAATGAAAAGTTTCCAAGGCAGCAGAAGGCCTTCCATTTCTCCAGGAGTGGCAAGGAGACTATTTGTTGTAATGCAGTAGGTGAGAAGAAAAGCAGCAAGACATGAGGTGAGCAAGATCACTCACAGAGACCAGATCTTTCTAGGTATTTTAAGGCTTTAGACTTTATGTAAGTGAAATTAGAAGCAATTGGTGGATTTGGGGAGAAAAAAAAGAGAATCTTACTAACGAAAATCAATGTAGCCTCTTTAAACTTCTTGCATTTCACAGAGGCACTCAACACACAAATGTGAAAGGCAAACACCCAGGTGCCAAGCAGGACACCCAAAGAACCTTCTTAACATCTGAGTGAAGGAAAGAGCAACGTATATATTTTACACTATATATGTGAATACTTTTATCCAGTATTTGTGAAATTAATACTTAACTATCTTTCTTGTTCCTCTACACTGCAGCTGAAGATGATTTAATATGTTGCTTCCCCCAAATGAGCACACTAAACTCCTAGGTGCTCTATTTTATTGACCTCTTCTATTTATGCCACCCACCCACCGCTGTAAGCTGCTTTATGATTTCACTAAGGACCTTTTATGAAGCCCTTGGTCCTGTTTATCAGTGACCCTTCCTTACCCCTCATCCATCCAACTCATAAGATCACCCTTTGGAGTGTTCCAATTTTGCATGTTATATGTGGCTATCAGAAGTGGGCTATTCGTCTTTTGAACAGCTTTCTCCCAAATATTTTATTTTTATTTATTATTTTTTTGGGAGGGGGGGACAGAGTTTTGCTCTGTTGCCCAGGCTGGAATGCAGTGGCATGATCTCTGCTCACTGCAACCTCTGCCTCCCAGGTTCAAGCAATTCTCCTGCCTCACCCTCCTGAGTAGCTGGGATTGTAGGCACCCACGACCATGCCCTGCTAATTTTTGGTAGAGATGGAGTTTCACCACATTGGCCAGGCTGGTCTCGAACTCCTGACCTCAGGTGATCCACCCACCTCGGCCTCCCAAAGTGCTAGGATTACAGGCGTGAGCCACTGCACCTGGCAGTTTTCTCACTATTAGTTTATAATAAAAACTTATACAGCAATGATTAAAGAATTTAAAAATGAGGCCTGGTGCGGTGGCTCACCCCTGTAATCCCAGTGCTTTGGGAGCCAAGGCAGGTGGATCACCTGAGGTCAGGAGTTCGAGACCAGCCTGACCAACATGGTGAAACCCCATCTCTATTAAAAATGCAAAAATTAGCCAGGCATGGTGGTGGGCACCTGTAATCCCAGCTACTTGGGAGGCTGAGGCAGAAGAATCACTTAAACCTGGGAGGTGGAGGTCGCGCCGAGATCAAGCCATTGCACTCCAGCCTGGGTGACAGAGTGAGGCTCCATCTCAAAAATAAATAAATAAATAAATAAACAAAGGATTTAAAAATGAAAACCCATGTAACTACCATCAAGATATTTTTGTTATAGATGCTTTATTGCATGTCTATTTAACATATCTCAAATCATAAATTAATTCATCTTACTTATCCATTCTTCTACAATTCATAGTTAAAATTTGTGGGGTTTTTTTTGTCTTTTTAAAAATACATTTGCTTTGAATTTTGGTACAAATTCTTTTTGTAAAAATATGTTTTCATTTTCATTGGCTAAATGCCAAGGAATAAAATTTCTGGAATGTAGAGTAAATATACAATTAGCTTTAAAGGAAATTGGGCAGAGCTTTTTTCCCACAGGGGCTGTACATTTTACATTTCTACCAATTCTTTGCATTGTACCAGGAACAACAATAATTAGTTTTAAAGAATGTTGGCAGAACTTTTTTCCAAAGGGGCTATATATTTTACATTCCTGCATTGTTTCACAAAAAGAGTCCACTGAATAGCAAAAAAAAAAGTGCCATGAGTTTTTTTATTTTCTTCTGGTGGATGTGAGCTAGTATTATTTTGTGACTATAATTTGTATTTTCCTGACGCCTGAAGATATTAAAATTTTTTCATGTGCTTCTTGGCCTTTTGTATCTATGTATCTTATTTGTTTTGTGAAGTTTCTATTCAACTCATTTTTTTTTAACATTTGGTAGTTTATCTTTTTATCACTTAGTGAAAATGATTTTTTTACACATTACGGCTATCAGTTATTTCTTAAATATATGTTTTTAAGCCATATGTGTTTTCTAAAAATTTTCTTCCAGTTTGTGTCTTGCCAAATCTTTTTCCTAATTGGGTCTTTTAATAAACAATTTTTCTTTTTGAGATGGAGTCTTACTCTGTCGTCCAGGCTGGAGTGCAGTGGTGTGATCTTAGCTCACTGCAACCTCTGCCTCCCGGGTTCAAGCGATTCTCCCTGCCTCAAACTCCTGAGTAGCTGGGATTACAGGTGCCTGCTAATTTTTGTAGTTTTTAGAAGAGATGGGGTTTCACCATGTTGGCCAGGCTGGTCTTGAACTCTTAACCTCAGGGTGATCCACCTGCCTCAGCCTCCCAAAGTGTTGGGATTACAGGCGTGAGCCACCGTACCTGGCAATAAACAGATATTTTAATATTAATGAAGCCTAATTTAACTATTTTGTCCTTTTTGAGTGCTGCTTTCCATGACTAACGTAAGAAACCTTCACCTATTGCCATGACCAGATACCTTCTGTGCTTTTCTCTGAAGTTTTATAATTTTAGCATTTGCATTTGGATCTATGCTTCATTTTGAATTAAATTTGGTGTATAAAGTCAAATACAGTATTTTTTTTCGTGTGGGTTTGAGACATTCCAACACCGTTGGTTGAAAAAGCATCCTATCCCCATTGGATTACTTTGTCTCATTTTAAAAGTGTCATATGAATGCATATATATGTTAGCAGAAAAACCAAACTCTGTAAAATTTTTAAAGAGCTTTATTCTGAGTCAATATGCATGACCAGGACCTAGAGAAAACACAAACTCAAGAAGCTTTGAGTAAGTGGCCCTGAAGTGGTCAGATCATGGTTTGGTTTAACATCTTTTCGGCAGGCAGGAGTTACGGACAAAGACAAAAATCAACTCATGGAAGGTGTAACTAGTTTGGCCCCAAAAGGAAGAATACCTCGAAATGAGGGCTTATAGGCTACAGGTGGATTCAGAGATTCGTTTATTGCAATTGGTTAAAGGAATAAAGCTGTGCCTGAAACTTGGAATCAACAGAAACGAATGGTTTAGTTAAGATGAAGATGCTATTTAGCAAGATAGATGGCCTGCAGGTGAGACTTAACTTTTGCCTGGCATGACCTTAGGTCTTCTTTATAATTTGGTATCTTATCGCCCCAAAGAGTCTATTTTGTCAGTATTATAATCTCTAGTTTAACATTATTGCTGGTCAGCTGTTGTGCTTAAACTTCAAAAGGGAGTGGTATAATTAGGCGTGTCCAACTTCCCTTCCCATCATGACTGAGAATTCTGTTTTTAAGCTTTGTAAACCAAAGGGATATGAGGTAAGACTGAATCAATCTAGAAGTTTATTTTGCCAAGGTTAAGAACATGCCTGTGACACAGCCTCATCCTGATGACATGGGACTTGTGCCCAATGTGGTCAGGCTGCAGTTTGGTTTTATTTGTTTTAGGGAAATATAAGACATCAATGAATACATGTAAGATGTACATTGAATTTGTCCAGAAGAGCAAGACAACAGGAACTGATGGGTGGGGTGGGAGGTTTCCAGGTCATAGTCAGATTCAAAGATTTTCTGATTGGCAATTGGTTATTATCTAAAGGCCTGGAATCAATAGAAAGGAATGCCTGGGTTATGATAAGAGGTTGTGGAGACCAATGTTTCATCATGCAGATGAAGCCTCCAGGTAGCAGGCTTCAGAGAGAATAGATTGTAAACGTTTCTTATCAGACTTAAAGAGGCTGTTCTATCAGTCTTATCAAGGTCTGTGTTGATGTTAACGGTAATGAGGCATGTCCATCCCCAACTTCCCATCATGGCCTGAACTAGATTTTCAGGTTAACTTTGGAATGCTCTTGCCTGAGAGGCATCCATTCAGATGGTTGGGGGAGCTTAGAATTTTAATTTTGGTTTACAAGTTGTTTTGCAATCTCCTTGGCCAAGAAGGGGTCCATTTAGTCAGTTTGGGTGATCGGTTAGAATTTTATTTTTATGTTACACAGGTGGGTCAATTTCTGAGCTGTATATTTACTTTGTTTGATCTATTTGTCAATTTTTAGGCCAGTCTCTTCTTTATTGTCTTCATTTGTATAGTGTCTAATAGGCCTCATAAATCAAGTATTGTAATTCCTCCAAAATTGTACATTATTTTGTAAAAGTAAGATTTTCCATTTGCTCCTCTTAAATATGATTAGATTGATATGAGTTCATTATTTGCTTTCTCAAGGTCACATTTGCCCACTTATTACATATTAGCTTTTTTCTAAGCAAATTTTTCATCAAAAAATGTATAAATGTGTTTTGTACTCGGATTTGATGATTACAGTATTGAAGTGAATAAAGTGCTGTGCTACAGATGTGTTCTTTCATACAACTATAGCCTCTTTTGTTTGTAGAGCCTGCAATGATTTTATAACTTCAGTAAGAGGAGGAGGAGAAACTGCTGTGGTCATTGTCATAGTAACAGCACCAGCAAATTTTAGATTCTTAGTAAATCTATTACTTTTTAATATGTGACATAATGTGTGATTTTATTTTTCCTTTCACATGTAATCCTTATAACTATGCAAAGTACATATTATTATATACATTTTACAAATTAAAGTTTCTAAAACATGAAATAATTTACAAAATAATTCATATATGCTGCTATTTAATTCTCACAGTATATCTCCCAAAAGGTAGTAGTGGTAACCCCGAGACTCACAGAGCATTCAAACTGTTTTGCTTGGTATAATGTTGAAGGATGCAAAATGACCATAAGGAAGTAGGTAGAATTGCAGCTTTGAATAATTCCAGAAAGTGCCATTCACACTGTAATCTATGTGGGGCTGCTCTCCCGAGTTGTGCAGTGCATACACCAATTAAGATGTTTTTGTTTGCAAGTAACAGGGTTCCATCTCAAAACTACATCAACCTAAATGGCATTTATTGCTTCAAAAAACAAGATGGATAAATAGAGGCCCAATGTATATTGACTTGATTTTGCATTTCATCGATATTACTAGGACAATTTCTCTCAATTCTCAGGTTTCCACAGTGGGTGTAATTAATCCCAAAGTAAGATTTTTACCAATTACTTCCAGGGCTACATCCAAACTTGGGGAGAAAGAAGACTTATGGCCCATAGTATATTCATATTCTATGACTGCCATCACCTATCACAACAAACTGGGTGGTTTAAAATTTCAGAAATGCATTCTCTCACAGATCAAGCATCCAGAAGCCTAAATTAAGTTTCTGGCAGAGCCATGCTCCCCCTGAAAGCTTTAAGGAAGTATTCTTCCTATGCCTCTTGTAGGTCCTGGCATCCTTAGTTTGTGGCAGCGTAAATCCTATCTCTGCCAACACATGGGCTTTGCTCAAGCCAGCCTCAGGGTTTCCCTCAGCTTGAATAAACCTTAGACAGTCTTCTTTCTGCCTCCAAGACCTCACCTCCCTCCTACTCTGGCCCCTACAGAATCCAGGTGACCTAACCAGGGAGATTGCTCTTCCTCCCTTTTCTTAGAGCATTTACTTTAGAAAACATGCAATTGCAAATTTGTTCTCTGCCTCTTTGACATATAAATCTTTTTCAAAGTCACTAGACAGTTTTAAAATCCTGAGTTATCTTTCTCAAATACTTGAGAGCCATATTTTGAAATGTAATTATCAAGGAAAATTGGTCTATCTGGGAGAGTAGGAGCCTAACTAAAGTGAGCACCTTGCTCCAAGTAGTAAAACTACCTCCTGTCAAGAAGATTGGTAGGATGAGGAAGTTTATTTTCAAGAAGATAGGATGAGAAAGTTTATTTTCAAAAAGATAGGATAAGAAAGTTTATTTTCCTTTGGGTAAAGCTAATTAACAAAAACATATGGCCTAGAATCCCCTCACCCCAGCTCTTAAAATATCTGCCATTTTTGTCAGTGGATTTGATCTCAGCCTGAGTTTTAGCCTCTCTACCCTATTGTAATATAATCAAATAAAGTTTTTCTCACCTGCTTAACTTTGACCACTGCAATTTTTGCTTTGACACCGTTGCTCTGTATGTTTCTGTGCTGTCTCCTATTCTTATAAAGACACAAGTCATTGAATTTAAGGCCCACCCTAAACCCGGCAGGATATTATTACGAACATATTTAACTAATTACATCTGCGTAAATTCTACTTCCAATTAAGATTATATTCTGAGTTCCAGACAAGCAATAATTTGGGAGTGACACTATTCATTTTGCCACATGCTGCTAGAGAAATATTTTCCATACACACTTTGAAAACGTCCCTCTTGCCTCATTGTCTGAATTAGGTCACATTCCCATTCTCAACCTAATCCAATTGGCTAGAAGAGTGTCATTAGTCAGCACTGACTGATTTAAACTTGAGCTCCCCAAACCTCATCTTGGCAAGTTGCTTTTGTTGAATTAAAATACAGTTTAGCAATTTTTTCCTAATCATTGATGTAGTAAATATATCTGGTCCCGAAGGCCTTTCAACCCTGCCATTGTGGGAGGCTAGAATATGCTGCCCCCAAATATGAAGGATTGTGGAGCTGAAGAAATTAAGAAGAAGCAGATTCAGGAAAGCTTCTGTCCTTCCCCTATTTGCCTAAAAGCAGAACACAGAGTTACAAAGAAAAGGTATCCTTCCCCCTTCAACCAAGGAGAGCAAAAATTAACCAGTGATGACACCTGTAGACCCTTATGGACCTGGAGATGGTACCAGAGGAATATACCTTAACAGGCTTTGCTAAGCAGTCTTTCTCTGCCATTTATTTACCCTTCCCCAAAGTGACCACCTGTGGAAACTCGAAGTCCTCTTCCTTTGTCTTATTACTTCTCTAAAAATTTACTATTCATTGTTGAAGATGCTATATAAGTTGGAATTCAAAGCCACCTTTTTAGAACTACTCATTCTCTGAGTGTCTCCCATGTGTATATGAAATATATGTGTTAATGTACTTGTTTGTTTGTTTTCGAGACGGAGTCTCGCTCTGTCACCCAGGCTGGAGTGCAGTGGCATGATCTTGGCTCACTGCAAGTTCCGCCTCCCAGGTTCACACCATTCTCCTGCCTCAGCCTCCCGAGTAGCTGGGACTACAGGTGCCTGCCACCACGCCCAGCTAATTTTTTGTATTTTAGTAGAGACGGGGTTTCACCATGTTAGCCAGGATGGTCTCGATCTCCTGACCTCGTGATCCACCCACCTTGGCCTCCCAAAATGCTGGGATTACAGGTGTGAGCCGCCATGCCCAGCCACTTGTTTGTTTTTCTCTTGTTAATCTGTCTTCTGTAATAAGGGTCTGTTCCAACTATGAACTTTTGGGGGTTGAGGAAAAATCCCTACACCATAGTTACAGGAAATCAACTATACCTGCTATCTAAATTCTGAGTGTGCTTGGAGTCCAATACAGCTTCATTTGCATATATAGGCAGCCAGGCCGATTTGGCCAGAGGGCAGTCGTTCACCAACCCTGGATTGGAATAATCACCATCAACCTCTCCTCCCCTTGGAGATAAGAAAGCAGCAACACTCTTTTCCTCTTCAAAATGTGGAAAATACAAACAGATATCAGTACCTGTCAATTCATCTCTGAGCAACTTAACTTCATTTTCAAGGTTTTACCTTCAAAGAAGTCATTCGGCCACCTCTGACCAACAGAGATAACATTATTTCCACTATTTAAACAACAGTTCTCTCTATCTTAGTACATCACAGAAGAGCAGAGCTTATTTTAGGACTAGGAAGAATATAGAAGCTATTCTTACTAATTCTGTGACTGTGACTTTATCCTATCTTTCTCTGAAAACATCACAGCAAAACATTTTATTTCATGTACTAATGATGTTCTGTGTGTTTGTGGCACACACTGGGTGTGTGTGCTGCTCCCTCATTATTACAGTGTTTAACAATGTTCTCTTTCTACAAAGAGAAAGTTTAAGGTAGTGGCTGAAAAATGCAGGCTCAGAGAGAAGGACAACAGAAGTTTCAAACCTGGCTCTTAGATACTAACTAGCGATCTTGCTTATTTTATTGTGTGTACTTCAGTTTCCTGGTACATAAAGTGGTGATTGTAGTAGTACCTATCTCATTCAGTCATTTCAATGATTAAATAAGCAGGTACATGCAAAACTCTTAGTACAGCATGCTCATTGTACTATAAGCTTTTGGTAAATGTCAGCTACGTTATTATTATTATATTTCTTAGTGATGAGAAATTGCCAAATCTTCTGAAGCTTTGCAGTATCATAGGCTTTGAACCAAAATGGGCTTTTGTTTTTTCTGTGACAAAGAGCTGTAGTAGCAAATCATTTTAGTTTTCATTTTTAATAAGTCTGAATAAGCACTGATTCAGCCTTTGTTTCTCATGTTGCGCATGGCAGGTTCTTCAAATTTTAAATAAATTAAGTACTATAATTACTCAAAAACTTAGGTAATTAAGTTATAATCAATGTATAAAAATAAATTAAATTTCCAAGACAAATTTATATGTATTTTTCTGAAGTAAATACATGCTTATTTGTAGGATGACTGATATTTTATTTTATTTTATTTATTTCTGAGACAAAATCTGGCTCTTTCACCCATGTTGGAGTGCAGCGGCATGATCTCAGCTCACTGCAACCTGTGCCTCCCCAGTTCATGCCTCAGCCTCCTGAGTAACTGGGACTACAGGCATGTACCACCACTCCTGGCTAATTTTTGTATTTTTAGTAAAGACGGGGTTTTGTCATGTTGGCCAGGCTGGTCTCGAATGATCTACCCCGCTCGGCCTCTCAAAGTGCTGGGATTACAGGAGTGAGCCACAGTGCCTAGCCCTGATTTTTTATTTTAACCTCAAGTACAGATAATTGAATTATTTTACTCAGTTTACATTATTGATTGGTCTGTGAAAATTACATGCACACACACACACACACACACACACACACACACACACAAAAGCACCCATTTCCCTTCCCACAGAGGCAATCAATTTCATGATTTAATATGCAGGTTTTTGTTTCCATATGTTCTTTTATAATGGGCATTTTTTACTTCATTTTCATGCACTTTTAATTTATGTAAATACTACAGTAGCAGAGATTGCTAATTTTCTACCAAAATTCATCATCACCTTATTCAATAGTAATAGAATTATAAATTACATTTTTCAGAATTTTCTGCAGCTTGGTGTGTCCATGTGGAATGAAAGCAGGGTGATGTGAAACACTTCCAGGTCTGAGCCTCAGAATACTAAATGTGTTGTTTCTCTTACTTCCTACTCTGTGCTACCCAGATGTGGGGGTAATGTGGTTTCAAGTAGGCAAGTTAACAGCAGTGCTCCAAGGCACTGGTCCTCAGAGTGTTCTTCCCAGGTACACAGCATCCGTCTCACCTCAGAAACTGTTAGTTTCAGCACTGTGAATTCTCTGGCTGTGTACCAGACCTACTGAGTCAGAAATTCAGAGATGGGGTCCGCAATCTGGTTTACAGCCTTATAGGTGGGTGATATTGATGCTTGCTGCAGATTGAGAAGCCCAGAGCAGTAAGACAAAGGAGATGGGTCCCTGAATGACTGTTAATAGCAAAGACCGGCCAAGATTTTTCCTTAGAGTTTCAGATGGTAAATATCTTAGACTTATGGTCTTTCTCCCTTTCTTCTCTACTTCCTCTTTTCCTTCTTCCTATCCTCCCCTTTCTACTCCTCCTGCTTCTTTCATTCCTTTAACAACCATTTACAAAGTTAAAAACCATGCTTAGTTAGCATGCAGATTGTATAAAAATAGACCAATAAAGAATATAATAACTATGGTAACCTTGGGCATATCAAACAAACGTTTGGGTCTCATTGTTAAAATAGCTTAATCTGGGACGTGAGTTAGAAGGAAAGCGGAAGTGTACATTTTTTGTTTTTTATTCAACTCTTTTTACTCTGCTCTAAAATTCTAAGATTAATCTACTTTTTGTTTGCATACTTAGTACATGTCTATGTCTTTATGTAGTTTACTGATTCTACCTATAGCCAAGTGCATCATGTTGTGCTCTTACCACATTTTGCTATGCCCTACCCAACCATGAACACAGATCACTTCCAACTCCCTAATACTATGTAAAATACAATCTTCTATATGTAGACATTCCTTTGGCTCCTACTTCCAGGAATTGAAGGTTTGGGTCATATATTTATTTGACTAGACTTTTCCAAATTGATCTACAAATGGACTACACTAGTTCACCCGCCCACCTGAAGTGTGGGAGTGATTTCCTGTCTTGCATACAACCAGCTCTCTGCATTATCCAGCTTTCTCAGGCATGCCTATTACAAAGGTGTAAAGAGATATTGCATTGCATTATTTTTTAGGATGCTCACATGCCAAAGCTCATCAGTGCCTTTCAGTCACTTAGAAACATTTATGATACATTATTTGTAATTCCTACTATATGTGATAAAAATAAGCAATTGTATTTGAAGCAATGTGTTTTAAATAGAAGTTTTAAATGTATATACAGACTTTAAATGATAAATTGAAACAAATAGAAGACATATAATTGGCATTATATATGCCCCTGGTATAGAAAAAATATATAAGTAGTTAAGTACAAACAAGGAATACTTGTACCTGTCTTTTGGGGGAGATGGTCAAATAATACACAATTTCCATTAGTGAAGAAGAATAAGATCAAGTGATCTATTGTATAAATAACTATAATGACTATAATTAATAACATGTATTATACTCTTGAAAATTGCTAAGAGAGTAGATTTTAAGTATTCTCACCACAATCAATAATTATGTGAAGTAATGTATATGTTAATTAGCTCAATTTGGCCATTGCAAAATGTATACATATTTTAAAACTATATTTTTATGCAATAAATATATACAACATTTTGTCAGTTAAAACAAAGCAAAATTTAAAATTAACCTGGCAAAAATAATAAAAGCTTTTATAATTGAAAAAAGTGTTTCAAAGAAGTTACAAAAATGTAAAGGAACATCTTTGAGCACTAAATATGCTGTGAAAACTTTGGAAAGAATGTGGACATTGAAATGTACAATAGTGACATGCAGCATTATTTTATTTATTTATAATAATTATGGCAAAATTTATTATGTGGACATACCCTTATTTATATGATTGTTCCCTAATTGTCAAACGTTGGCTTTAGCCATAATTTCTGCTATCATAAATCACAGTACAGGGGATAAAGCATCCTTATAACTGCGACCTTGCACACACCCGTAAGTATATTTTTAGGAGAAATTTCTGGAAGTGGTATGCTGGGGCAAATGGTAGACACATTTTGAATTTCTTATATACATACTGACAAATTTGTTTTGAAGAGGTTACTCCAATTTTTATTTCCATAAAGGGCAAATGACTACTCCCAATAATATTTATTTTTAAAGGGGTTTATATTACTTATTTTTTTATTTCTATTTTAAAATATTTCTTACATTTCATGCATGCGAAAATATATGTAATATATATGATAGCTAAAATAATTACTAACACAAATTCCAACTTTCAGTAACGACATTGATAATTTGAGAATTTTACTTACCTTTGAAACCCACTGGTGTTCCTTGCTTTGCTCTCTAGAGGTCTTAAAATTTTTGCTGTTGGCTGGGCGTGGTGGTTCATGCCTGTAATCCCAGCACTTTGGGAGGCCAAGGCGGGCGGATCACCTGAAGTCAGGAGTTCAAGAGCAGCCTAGCCAACATGGTGAAACCCTGTCTCTACTAAAAATAAAAAAAGAAATTAGCCGGGTGTGGTGGCACATGCCTGTAATCTTGGCTACTAGGGAGGCTGAGGCAGGAGAATTGCTCGAACTCGGGAGGTGGAGGTTTCAGTGAGCCGAGATTGCACCACTGCACTCTAGTCTGGGCAACAGAGCGAGACTCTGTCTCAAAAAAAAAAAAATTGCTGTCATTTTCTTTGCTTTTATTTTCATTTTTACTACACATATTATCTATGTATACATACAAACCCCACATATATGTACATATAAATATATAATCAACATATTTTACAATATATTTTTCATTTTGCTAGTTTTTGAAATGTATATTAAAAGTTAAATGCTATATTCTTCTATTATATAATCTTTAGCTAAATATTATACTTGTTAATTTAAGTTATGCATCTATGTTCATTTATTTTGATTGCTACCTAATGTTACATTCTGGTGATAGTCCACAACTTATTTATTCATTATTTTTTAAGCAACATTTTCCAGGTTAATTTTATTATCTACTATTTTACTTGGAACAATTTTGTACATTGGACAAGAATTTTTCTGTGGTATATATATCACAGAATGAAATCACTAAATCAAGCTGTGTGCATTAGCAAACTTCCTTCTCACAAGTAACTGGTAACTCCTTAACCAACTTCAAGCATTGTTTGTACTATTTCAGATCCAGTACTTTTGGAATCTTTTTCAGATTTATGTTACTGTCAGTTACTTCTGAGAGTTATGCATTCTCTATACATTGGCTTATCTATTGGGATGTGGCCATTTCCTTATCATTTTCTAACATTGTAGGGGTAGCAGTCAATCTGAGATGCAGTACCCTTTATTTGAAATCTTGTCAATCACCATGAGTACCAGACTTGTGAACAAAATGTACTTATTTTTCTTTACTTCCACTGATTCTTTTCTACTACAAAAATAGAAATAAGGAACATTAGACTCTTCACGTGAGATTTTTACTTTTCTAAGGTGCGCATATGCCATAGAGATAAGTTCTATGTCTGTATATGTACATATACATGGACGTGAGAGTGTGCGTGTGTGTGTGTGTGTGTGTGTGTGTGTGTGTAAGGTGGCTGAGGGGTTAATTTTGCATCTGAACAGGCCAGTGTTGAGATGACTTCTGTTTTTCTCTAACCTCTTGAACTAATGAATGCAAAATAAAACAACAAAAATCAAAGAAACTAAGCAATAGAGAAAAGAAAGGGATTTAAAAAAAAGAGAAAAGAAAGTCAAGCACATTAACATTTCAAACATTTATGCTGTCAGATAAATTAAACTGTTCAGAATTATAAGGCAGTTAATATCCTACATTTGTCTAGCAATTTAAACCCCCTTAAATACCTGTTTTGACTCAATTGAATGGTTATTTTGAAGGGTTCCACCTGCCACCCATGAATTAAAAGAACAAATTATATTCATAAAGAATCAGCAAATTTCCAAATCTAAACAAAGAGCTAATGCAATAAGGGAGAGAAAGAAAGAAAGAGAAAAAGCAGAAATGGAGGAGAAGATATAGAAAAAAGAAAACTGTAAATTATGTAATTAATACAAATTAGATTAGGGTTTTTGTTTGTAATCTCTTCCTAATTTAAATGCTTGTTTTGGAGGAAATTGTTTACTTCCCCTCTTTTTTCACCCTCTTTTTTCCAGTTATGTAGCCATCTTATGTAATTCATTTATTTAGGATTAAGCTTTCAAACTAAGATGCGCTATTTTGAGGCATTTTTTTTCAAAGAGCTACTCTAAAATCCTATCATTTAAAGACAACTATTGTTACCAAGCATATACTTTCTCTTCCTGTTTTATCCCCAGTTCTACAGAAAAAAATAGTCTAATATCAAAATGAATTTGTACTTAGGATTCCAAACACTTAAAAAATGTTTAGCAGACACAATAGTTGAGAAAAAAATAGTATTGTTACTAACCATATATGTTTTACCAAGAAGTAATTGTTAGTTGGATCACTATCACCAATATTAAAAATATTAGAAGAACCTAATCCCAGTATATTAAAAACAGATTTCTTGAATTTGCAAATTTATTTAGAATTACATAAAGGGTTGCTTCTATTTAAAATTAAGAAAGTAGATAAATCATTTATCACAGAGGTGCTTACTTTATCCACGTATAAACCAAAATCACCCTGACATGCTCTCTGCATTCAAGAGGTTAATTGTTTTGGAGATATGGGCTTAAGTGAGACATAAGCAGGAGTTGAAATGAACTTTAGAAGTTCACGTTGCAAGTACTCCAACAAGTGTATAATTCAATCTGCCTTACCTCAACTTCAAAGAAATGTTTATACCTCAACACCCTATTCAACCCATAGACCTTCATAATGTGAAGACACTGGCAATGTGAAATATTTTCAAATTCAGGTTACCTTTTAGTCATTAAGTCCCAAATTAAATAAGCCCTTATTCTCATTTTAAGTCTGTTACAGTGAGTATATAATGTTAAATTGCTTGACCATGGGAGTCAATAACAATTCAATATTACGATAATGAATAGAATCTATTTTGTTAATTGCTTAAGACACAACTAGTGGTCATGTGCCTTTAGGAAATATAGTAACTGCTTAATATTATTTTATAATATATTATCAATAATGTATTAAATGATAATCGTCTGATTGACTTATGAGCTCTGGAAATACTATAATCAATAACTTTACGTACATAGGGAAAATAAACTGACAAATTAAAGAAATATCCTTCCTTTAAATGTCCCCTTACCTTCTCTTAAAGAGTAATTTAAGAGAAGAAAGGAAATTTTTGAATATTAGCTCACATTAATTCCATGAAATAGCTCATTTCCATTTGTGAAAATACAGAAAAGTTCCTTCTTATAACAATTTGTTATTCACAACCTTTGCAGTAATTACACTAGAAAAATGATGGAAGAGTGTGATTAATGATAAATGAACTTCTATTATCTGCCAGTTACTTTATATATGCACCAGAGTCAATGCTTAACACAACTGCTGGAAGTAAGAACTGCTAAATTTGTTTTCCTGTGATGAAATGGAAATTCATAAGGATTATAATATTTCATTGAATTGAAAACCAATCCTATTCATTGAAAGACACGTATCACCTTACTGCCAGGAGAAACAGAAAATGCTGCCAAACATGACTGTAAGACTTATCTGTAGACTGGTACTGACTCAAAAATGTTATTCTGGTAGGATTTAGGTGGGTAAATGATACCGGTAGGATGGGTTGGGTGGCCCATGGAGTAATGCCAGGTAGTAAAGCACCTGTTTAAGGCAAAGAAGTTGGTGAGCTGAGGCCGGGCGCGGTGGCTCACGCCTGTAATCCCAGCACTTTGGGAGGCCGAGGCGGGCGGATCACGAGGTCAGGAGATCGAGACCATCCCGGCTAAAACGGTGAAACCCCGTCTCTACTAAAAATACAAAAAAATTAGCCGGGCGTAGTGGCGGGCGCCTGTAGTCCCAGCTACTTGGGAGGCTGAGGCAGGAGAATGGCGTGAACCCGGGAGGCGGAGCTTGCAGTGAGCCGAGATCCCGCCACTGCACTCCAGCCTGGGCAACAGAGCGAGACTCTGTCTCAAAAAAAAAAAAAAAAAAAAAAAAAAAAAAGAAGTTGGTGAGCTGAATCTATTCCCAGGCCTCTCTGACTCCAAAGCCCTGATTCTTACATTGAACCTCACGGCCTCAGCTATCTTCACAAAACAGGATGCATTTGACATTTTCCTATATGAGAACTCATCTTTTCCTTGATGGCACCAGCAGTCTTTGTAACCTTCATGTGGAGGAAATCAAAGTGCATGGCAGTGTATTAATCAGAAAAATGGATTGTGCTTGCCTCCTCCTGCCAATCACTTGACAAGGAAAAACAGATAGCAAAGATTAAATCACAGCTTGCTCAAATGCTCCACACTTGAAATAAATACATTTCAGCTTTCACGAAAGTCCATTATGCACTGTTTGGCTTTGATTAGCAGGGGGCATTTCATAAAACATGAAAGAAAGGTACAGCTGGGGAAGAAAGAAGAAATGCGTGAGCATGTATAGTCACTGTTTAGTTAAACAGCTGATTCACCCCAGTCAAAGAAAACAGCAAAGGCTCTGACAATTACGAATGTCCTTGGCAAAAGGATGAATTTACCTGCCTGTAAACGAGACATCGCTTGAAAAGGCAGTGTCTGCAGCAAACAGAACACCAGCAGAGCATGACTTTAAAGAACAATCCGTATTTGCTCTTACACAGGAGAGATCCACAATTGCAACTTGATTGTAATCCTCACCTGGGAAATCTGAAATCACCACCTGTTTTCTTTGGATGCTTGTGTGACACACTCCAGTTGCTTTCTACAGAATTTAGAACATTCATTTACTCCAGTGGATACACTTGGAGCTTTACTCAATTCGATTCATTTTCATTAAACAACTGACTCACCAGACTCATTAGACCTATGCAATTCACTATGTTTCATAGTCACATCTTTACTTCTAAATATATGGTACAAACATTGCTTCTAGCTAAAGGTATATTTTCATATAAATGCTGTAATTGTTTGCCCTTCGTTAAAAAAGCCAAGATATTAAATGTAAGAAATAGTCTAATAGTTTGTTACTACGCAGTCAGTTGTCTTAAGAATACTGGAGAAACAGAACAAGTGAAATAACATCAACCACTCCAAATTCTAATTTACTTCATATGAGCTCTTCTACATTAAATTCCAAACATGTTAATAGAAACTTTATTTTTTCTATTCAATATTCTAAAATATATTGTAAGAATTAAAGTAATTTTAATAGACAAAACCTAATAATGTAGACTTATGATTATCTGCAATGTAAAATAGCCTATTCTACTTTTAGCATTTCATCTCTTGAAATTATATGAATCATCATCTGCTACTTAGCCCAGTAAGATAAATGAGAGTATGAACTGCATTGCAGTGCCAGTAAAGACAAGGAGATCCACAAGACTAGGTATATTGTTAGTTATCTGAGCAAACAAGTTAGCTAGAAAGAAAAAAAAAAAAAGCCTAGTAACTTACTTCAATAATATAGGCAAAGTCTATCAGAGCCCTCATGCTTCTGAGGGTTTAATATAGCAGTATGCAGCACTTATAATCATATAAAATAGCTAAACTACACTTTTTCTAAATCGAGAACACTATTTTCAGAAATGTAATTTAAATTATGAAATTCAATGTTTAAAAAATGTGTAAAGTGTCTCTAGAATTATATATTTATAAAATGAACACCAAACATAGCAATAAGCCAAAGGTACAAATGTTCAACCTATTAAAAAAAAAAAAGTTTTATCTTGAGTTTGATACAATCAAGTATATTTAACCATTTTAATCTATCAGAGAATAAAGATTGATTATGGTTAAGTAAGGCCTTTGTCAGCTCATACTATTGGGGAAGTTTTAGGATACTATGATTATTGTACAAAGGCCTAAAAAAATCAACTTTAAATTTTGCTGAGTGATACTGCCATCTACTGGTTTAATTTGTTGCAATATTATAATGGCTGACATCTGAAGTATTGGGTTTTCCAGGTACCCCTGACAGACGTAGATATTCCTGAAGGTAGATTAGGTCATTTAAGCTAAGAAATAAATAGAATTCGACACTGTTATGAATTATGATTTTTAAAGATTATACAGAATAAAGGGAAATGCTTTAAGTAGGCAAAATCATTTTAGAGCTTTCACTAAATTGCTTAAATTACGCTGTATATCACAGATCTCAATGTTTAAGCAATGTTCTGCATATTTGGCTTACTGAATGTAATTTGTGCTGCAAAATTCAACAAAACTTCAACAAAAACTTGGTATTTAAGACAGACAATAGAAAAAATAGAAAATGGTTCTTGGCTTGAAGTTTGCAAATTGAACAAATATATACACAAAAGAAAATTTAGCTAAAGGTGTTTCTTCAGATGCACATTTTAAGTGAAAAATGAAGGTATGGCTTTGGAGTAGAAGGGGATTTGTAAGAAGGCTTGCATTTGAAAAAGAACAGACAAATAAAATGTGAGGAAACCACAGCTTGAGGAAGGATTTTAAAAAGTGAAAATAACAGGAGAAGGAGATTTTTCTGTTTTAGCTTTTGCACAGTAACCACAAATGTATCCTTAATCCTGAGTAATGCAATTCTTAATTCCTACAGTACTCAAAGTTAATATGCATACTGAGTACGGGAAAATTTGTGTTCATTCTTAACATGCTTAACATAGTAAAATGTCTAGTTTGGTCAGTGACATTGACAAAGCTTGACTTGCATCGATCTGACTCTGCGAAACTACCCAAATAAAACACATTCTGTTAGTAAAAGGGGAAAAGAGATTGTTTGCTATACAATCATTGAGTTTTGGTGAGTTTATGAAACTCTGCTTCCTTGTACTCCTTGTTAAATTTGATGCTTTGAGATGTAAATTATACTGGAATATCTATTAAAGAGTAATATATATTATTATTCCTCCCAACTTGTACAAATCTATCTCAAAGATTTAAGTTTTTTAACCTGATGCTACTGCTCTAGGAACTTCCCAGGATGCCCCTAGGGGAGGGAGTAGCAGGCAGCAGTGGAACAGCTCCCAACCCAACTCAATGAAAGTGGAAGTCTTTGATTTGATATGTGTATGAGTGTACACATATATATGCATACTCACATGCACTCACATACATGCACACATAATTTGCTCTATACACCTGATTTTCTTTGAAGAAGTGCTCTGCTGCTAAAGATAATTTTGAAAAAAGATCAATTTAAAAATTGGAAATATGAAAACCAGGATTTGAATAGAGAGAGGAAAAAAATTGGGAAGAACAGCTTGAGTAGAAGTAGGAAAAGGGAAAAGTAGAAGGAGGGCATGGGATATTGTTTTACCTTTTTTGCAAGCAATGTATTAAATTATTCATTGGCTCAATTTATATTGATAAATTTATAAATTATATTTCAAAATAAAATTTATGCCATGCTATGCCCTTGCAATTCTTTTACTGGGTATAAATACCAAAGCCATGATCAATATGACCATTAAGGAGCATATTCAAGGGTAGGCAGTGTATAGTTGTTTATTTGCTAGGGAGTTGAGGCAACCTGTGTGTCTGTCCTTGAGTGAGCTTATAGAAAGTGGTGGATGGATATCATAGAATACTATGCAGAAGATACAGAAATGCTGATGGTTTTGGAAAATGTAGTTGAAATGACAATGTAATCTATAAAATAGCATTATGTATTCAAACTTAAAATAAGCATGCACAATAATACATTTTCTACAGAAATATGTAAATATAAGGATTTGCACAAAATGGTGAAAATGGAGATAAAAGGAAAAAATCAAACAAGCATATAAACAAATTGATAAATAATAAAAAGCCTTAGGCTGATGGAAATAATGTGTATGTTTGAGGAGTATGATTAACTTAAGCTTTTTCACCTGAGGCTTAACTAGGAAAAGAAGAAAGACTAGAATTTTAGCCTTCAATAGGGCAAATGAAATAGAACTTGAACAGCTGTGGAACTTGAGATAAACCTTAGGTTGCTGCTGTTTTTCTTTCTAGAATGGGAAATATTTGGGTCTCAAATTTCCTCATGACTTTCTATACGAATTGAACTTTTCTATTCACACATAAAGCCAGATCTTTTCTAATTCAAATTTTCTTTTCATTTTAATTCTATACCTCCTGTTTCATTGCATATATCATGAAAGAACAATTTGCACACACAAAAAAATTACTTTGAACTGGGAAAAGTGACAAAAGCAGTTTCCTGAATGAGGCAGCATCACATTTGGGAATTCAACATAGTCTTGTTTCTTCTAGTGTCACACATTTATCATGAGCATAAAGAAAATATTTCATCCATTCATCTATAGTTTTTATAATTTCACACGGAAAAAAGGGTTAAGCAGAAAAGTATTCCAACTACAATTGCATTCAGGACATGAAAATATTTTGTTTTTATGTATACTATACTAGCAACAAATAAAATAAACAGGACTTCAGGAATATGGTATATTTGTCTCTGTCCCTGTAGCTGGCAAACCACAAATTTTCAGACATAGAAAATCAAGTCTTCAGTTTTACCTTCTCATTATTAAAAGTGAGACTATTGGACAGGCATGGTGGCTCATGCCTGTAATCCCAGCACTTTGGGAGGCTGAGGCCCACGGACCACTTGATGCCAGGAATCCGAGAGCGGCCTGGCCAGCATAATGAAACCTCATCTCTATTAAAAATACAAAAAGTTAGCTGGGCATGGTAGTGTACCCCTGTAATCCCAGCTACTTAGGAGGCTGAGGCATGAGAATCGCTTGAACCGGGAGGCAGAGGTTGCAGTGAACCAAGATAGTGCCACTGCACTCCAGCCTGGGGGATAGAGCATGACTCTGTTAAAAAAAAAAGAAGGAAGGAAGGAAGGAAGGAAGGAAAGAAAGAAAGAAAGAAAGAAAGAAAGAAAGAAAGAAAGAAAGAAAGAAAGAAAGAAAGAAAAAAAGAAAGAAAGAAAGAAAGAAAGAAAGAGAAAGAAAGAGAGAAAGAAAAGAAAGAAAGAGAAAGAAAGAGAGAAAGAAAGAGAGAAAGAAAGAAAGAAAGAAAGAAAGAAAGAAAGAAAGAAAGAAAGAAAGAAAAAGAAAGAAAGAAAAAAAGAAGTAAGGCTATCATTCTCAGCATAGCTCTTATTCAGTGAAAGGGGAAAAAATCAAATTTAAAACAAAAATATGACCACATTAAACTAACCAGTTACTGGCTCAACATAATAGCTTCTTGGAGGTAGAATTTTGGAATAAGCAATTGTAAGATAATTTTTTTCAGAGTTAGAGATATTGCTGTGCTCTATAAATAAATTAGTTAACTAGTATGGGAAATTTTCAACATTGAGATATTATTGTTAAAAATTGCCAACCAAGAAGATCAGTATTCCTAATGCTGTATTTTATATTTTAGAGACAACACTCTGCTTATCTAAGGAGAAAATAATAAACGTATTTACAGCACAATTTTATTTTAGGAGTAGCTGTTTTTCTGAAATTAGTCATCTTTTGTGCTGGCTTTATGAAGGCCAGACTGCGGTTGTAGTTAATAATCGGGAATAAAAATAACGCTTCTTCTCCACTGACCTGAGGAGTATTCACACGAAGCCAATTTTTTACACTCATTCCTCTCTTCGATAAAGTTACACAGCATAATGAGAAAGAAGAATGACAAAGGACAGAGCTATACCTATCTTAAAAACATTTGGTAGAAAGTACTACATTTGCTGTTCTGTCATGAGTAAGGTATGATGGCACTGTATGCAAACTAGTATCAACTCTTATTTTCAACGTGTTTAACATGTAGTACCTCATTGTGACTTCACAAAAACTATAGGAGATAGAAAGGAGACATTTCAAATTTTCATTGTATAGATATGGAAACTAATTTCAATAATTTGTGACTTTCTCAGTATTTCAAGAAATAAATCCTAAAATTAAAATTCAATTATATTTCTTCTGTCTCAAGAGACAAACCAGATTCTTTACATATAGTGCATGTCTTGCTATGCATAGTCAATGTAGTATGGCTCTGTGTCTCCACCCAAATCTCATCTCCAGTTGTAATCCCCATAATCTCTACCTGTTGAGGGCAGGACAAGGTGGGAGGTGATGAAATCATGGGAGCAGCTTTCCCCATGCTGTTCTCGTGATAGTGAGTGAGTTCTCATGAGATCTGATGGTCTTAGAAGGCAGTTTTCCCTGTTCTTGCTCACTTTCTCTGTCGCCTGCCACCATGTAAGACGTGCCTCTTCCCTTTTTGCTGTGATTGTAAGTTTCCTGAAGCTTCCTTAGCCATGCAGAACTGTTAGTCAATTAAACCTCTTTTCTTTATAAATAACCCAGTTTCAGTTATGGTATATCTTTATAACAGTGTGAAAATGAACTAATACAATAGTCTTATGTTTAAATTAGTCATTGTGAAATGACAACAAATAATGAAAAAGTGTAAAAAGATATAGGTAAGAACAGTAATTTGCTAAAATACATGAGATAACACACAATTGAAATTAGACTTGATTATGAGGGCATGGAGGATCACAGCAGAATTTAAAGCATAAGAAATATGTAAAAGCTATATTTTAGGAAGCATAATCTGGCAGAAACATATCAAACGGGTTGAAATGTAAAGGCCTTAAAATCAGAGAGAACAAGAAACTAACGCAATCATCCTGGTGTGAGATAAGAGTCTACCTTAGGGTTAAGGCAGATCAATTAATGAGAGAGAAACAAAATCCAGACATATTTTAATTAAAAGCATGATGAAATCAGGGACTTGACGTAAGTAGGGTAAAAAAATGAGGCAGGGATAAAATTATAGGTGAAAATATTATATTCAATTACTTTTAATGATAGGGCAATATTCTTAAAATAATGCTTTAGTTATATTTAAAAATGCTCATTTTTAAACTTTTCATCCAAAGGAGAGATGGGCTGATAATAAGTGACTCCATTCAAAAGGCATTTTTCCTAATCAAAGAGATGAGCATGTAAAATAACTATAAGTGGAATTTCATTAACATGAAACAGAGCAAAAAAAGAAGAGCCTTTTGGCAAATAAAGCATGCTCACTAGTGAGCATAGCAGTAGCCCACTAGTCAGTTCCTGCTTCTGTAAACAAGTTTTTTTATTTAAGAAAGAGAAAATAAAATCATACGTTTAATAAACAAATATGCCACTTAATACTTGGAGAAGGTTAATTTTCCTTGAATTAATCTGTGACTGAGTTTCCCGCATGTTGATATTCAGTATGCATAGTTATTTTTTTAATTGTCTAAAACATGTAAAATAAATTACCATTTTAACCACCTCAGAGTGTAAAATTCAGTTATGTAACCATCATTACCATCTAATTCAAGAAACTTTTGATATGGTTTGGCTGCATCCCAACCCAAATCTCATATTGAATTCCCTTGTGTTTAGGGAGGGACCCAGTAGGAGGTAATTGAATCATGGGGCAGGCCTTTCCCCTGCTGTTCTCCTGATAGTGAATAAGCCTCATGAGATCTGATAATTTTATAAGGGGGAGTTCCCCTGCACAATCTCTGTCTTTGCCTGTCTCCATCCATGTAAGATGTGACTTGCTCCTCCTTGTCTTCTACCATGATTGTGAGGCTTACCCAGCCATGTGGAACTGTAAGTCCATTAAACCACCTTTTTCCCCAGTCTTGGGTATGTCTTTATCAGCAGTGTGAAAATGGACTAATACAGTAAATTGGTACCAGTATAGTAGGGCGTTACTGAAAAGATACCCAAAAATGTGGAAGCAACTTTGGAACTGGATAACAGGCAGAGGTTGGAACAAATTGGAGGGCTCAGAAGAAGACAGGAACATGTGGGAAAGTCTGGAATTTCCTAGAGACTTGTTGAATGACTTTGCCCAAAATACTGATGGTGACATGAACAATGACGTCCAGGCTGAGGTGGTCTCAGATGGAGATGAGGAACTTGTTGGGAACTGGAGCGAAGGAGACTCCTGTTAGGTTTTAGCAAAGAGACTGGAGGCATTTTGCCCCTTCCCTGGAGATCTGTGGAACTTTGAACTTGAGAGAGATTATTTGGGATATCTGGAAGAGGAAATTTCAAAGCAGCAAAGCATTCAAGAGGTGACTTGCGTGCTGTTAAAGGCATTTAGTTTTGTAAGGGAAAGAGAGCATAAAAGCCCGGAAAATTTGCAGCCTGACAATTTAATAGAAAAGAAAATCCCATTTTCTGAATAGAAATTCAAGCCAGCTGCAGAACTTTTCATAAGTAACGAGGAGCCCACTGTTAATCACCAAGACAATGAGGAAAATATCTCCAGGACATGTCAGAGGTCTTCAAGGCATCTCCTCCCATCACAGGCCCAGAGGCCTAGGAGGAAAACATGGTTTCATGGGCCAGGCCCAGGGTCCCTTAGCTGTGTGCAGCCTAGGGACAGGGTGACCTGCATCCCAGCTGCTCTAGCCATGGTTGAAAGAGGCCAACATAGAGCTTTGGCTGTGGCTTCAGAGGGTGCAAGCCACAAGCCTTGACAGCTTCCATGTAGTGTTGAGCCTGGGAGTGCACAGAAGTCAATAATTGGGGTTTGGGAACTTCTGCCTAGATTTCAGAAGATGTATGGAACTGCCTGGATGCTCAGGCAGAAATTTGCTGCAGGGGTGAGGCCCTCATTGAAAACCCCTGCTAGGACCGTGCAGAAGGGAAATGTGGGATCGTTGCCCCCACACAGAGTTCCTACTGGGGCACCACCTAGTGGAGCTGTGAGAAGAGGGCCACCCTCCTCCAGACCCCAGAATGGTAGATCTACTGACAGCTGGTACCATTCACCTGGAAAAGTCGCAGACACTGAACGCCAGCCTGTGAAAACAGCTGAGAGGGAGGCTGTACCCTGCAATGCCACAGGGAGGGAGCTGCCTAAGACCATAGGAACCCACTTCTTGCATCAGTGGACCTTGATGTGAGACATAGAGTCAAAGGAGATCATTTTGGAGATTTAAGATTTGACTGCCCTGCTGGATTTCAGACTTCCATGGGGCTTGTAGTCCTTTAGTTTTGGCCAATTTCTCCCTTTTGGAATGGCTGTATTTACCCAATGCCTGTACCCTCATTGTATCTAGGAAGTAACTAACTTGCTGTTGATTTTACCAGCTCATAGGCACAAGGGACTTGCCTTGTCTCAGATGAGACTTTGGACTTTGGACTTTTGAGTTAATGATGAAATGAGTTAAGACTCTGGGGGACTGTTGGGAAGGTATGATTGGTTTTGAAATGTGAGGACATGAGGTTTGAGAGAGGCCGGGGTAGAATGATAGGGTTTGGCTGTGTCCCCATCCACATCTCATCTTGGCAAACATCACTCACTCCCAGGCAAATGTTTATCTGCTTGCAGTCCCTATGGATTTGCTAATTCTGGATATTTGACATAAAAGAAACTGTACAGTATGTGGTCTTTTGTGTCTGGCTTTTTTCACTTACGATAATGTTCTCAAGGTTCACCCACGTTGTAACTTGTATTAGTACTTTATTCTCTTTGTGGAAAAATAATATTCCATTGTATAGATATGGCATCATTTCTTTATCCATTTACCAACTGATCAACATTCAGGGTGTTTTCACCTTTTAGCTATGATGATAGCACTGCTATGAACATTTGTTAAGGCGTTTATGTTTGAATCCCTATTTTCAATTTGGAGGATATATATTTAGAAGTGGAGTTGCTGGTTCATGGTAATTCTACGTTTAACTTATTGTGGAGCCAGTGAACTCTTTTTCACAGTAGCTTCACCATTGTATAGTCCCAAAAACAATGTATGAGGGTTTCAATTTTTCCACGTCTTTGCCAACACTTGTTATTTTTCATTTTTTGTTTGTTACAGCCATTTTACTGCATATACAGTGGTATATTTCTGTGGTTTTGATTTGTGTTTCCCTAATAATGACATTGAGAATCCTCTGTTGGCCATTTGTGTATGTTCTTTGGAGAAATGACTATTCAAGATTTGCTCATTTTTATTAGATTATTTGTTTTGAGTTATATGAATATTTATATACTCTGGTTACAAAACTTGTATTAGATGCATGATATGCAAATTTTTTTCTATTTTGTACAGTGGTCTTTTCATTCTCTTTTCTCTCTTTTTTTTTTTTTTTTTTTTTTTGGTGACAGGGTCTTGCTCTGTCACACAGATTGGAGTGCAGTGATGCAATCATGGCTCACTGAAGCCTTCAACTCCTGTGCTTAAGCAATCCTCCTGCCTCAGCTTCCCAGGTAGCTGGGACTACAGTCATGAATCCCCGCACCTGGCTAATTTTCTTTTCTTTTTTTTTTTTTTTTTTTTTGGTTTTTGGTGGAAACGGGGTCTTGCTATGTTCCCCAGGCTGGTCTCCAATTCCTGGGCTTAAGTGATCCTCCCACCTCAGCCTCACAAAATGCTAATTACAAGTGTGAGCTACTGTGCCCAGCCTTTTCATTCTCTTCATGTGTCCTTCAATGCACAATTTTTTAAAGTTTTGATGAAGTCCAATTTTCTCTCTTTTGTTGTGTGTGGGTTTGTTATCACATTTAAGAAATCATTACCAAATTCAAGATCAAGAAGATCCACTCTTATCTTTTCTCTAAAAGTTGTGTTGTTTTAGCTCTTCTATTTAGTTTGTCTATCCTTTTTGAATTAATTTTTGTATGTGGTGTGAAATAAGGGTCCAACTTTCATTTTTTTTGCCTGTAGATATCCAGTTTTCCCTGCACCACTTGTTAGTCTATTCTTTCCTTGGTGAGTACTCACAGCATCTTATTGAAAATCAATTGACCATAGATGTATTTATAATAATAATACTTCTAAAAACAAAATAATAGATGTATTTATTTCTGAACTCTGAATTGTGTTACATTGATCTGTATGTCTATCCTTATGCCAGTACCACCTCATTTTGATTAATGTGGCTTTATGTAGGTTTTGAAATTGAGAAGTGTGAGTCCTTCAACTCTATTCTTTTTGGAGATCATTTTGACGGTTCAGAGTCCCTATAAATTTAAGAATTAGCTTTTCCATTTCTGCAAATTGACATTGAAATTTAAATAGGACTTGTATTCCATCTGTTGATCATTTGAGGGAATATTGTCATATTAAAAATATAAAGTATTCTAAAACATGAACATAGAATGTCTTCCCACTTATTTGGCTATTTTAAAATTTCTTTAACCAGTGTTTTGTAGTTTTCAGTGTCTAAGTCTGATGGCTTTTAGCATTTATTCCTATTTTATTCTTTTGGATGCAGTTGTAAATGAAATTATTTCCCTAATGCCTTTTTTGCTTGTTCATTGCTGGTATATAGAAATAAACCTCATTTCTGGTGTTGTACTTGTATTCTGTAACTTTGCTGAATGTATTAGTGCCCATAGCTTCTTATGAATTCTTTAGGATTTTCTGTGTATAAAGTCATGTTATTATTAATACAGTTTTACTTTTTATTTTTCAATTTGAATGCCTTTTTTTTTTTCTGAGATAGAGCTCCCTCTGGCACCCAGGCTGGAGTGCAGTGGTGCAATCTCTCACTGCAGCCTCGAAATCCTGGGCTCAAGCAATCCCCCAACCTATGCCTTCTGAGTAACTGGGAACATAGACATGCACCACCATACCTGGGTAATTTTTTGGATATTTTATAATTACAGGGTTTCACCATGTTGCCCAAGCTGATCTCGAACTCCTGAGCTTAAGTAATCTGCCCACTTCAGCCTTTCAAAATGCTGGGATTGCAGGCATGAGGCACTGCACCCAGCCATGATTGCTTTTTACATGTTGAATCTCTCTTGCATTCCTGGGATAAATACTATTTGTTCATGGTGTATAATCTTTTAAAATATGCTGCTGGATTTGTTTCCTAGTGTTTTACTGAGGATTTTAAAAGATTCAACTTTTGTTTAGATTCAGAGGGTATATGTGCAGGTTTGTTACATGGGTATATTGTGTGATGCTGGGGTTTGGGATATGGATAATCCCATCACCCAGGTAGTGAGCATAGTACCCAATAGGTAGTTTTTCAGCCCACTCCCCACCTCTTTCCTTTCCCTTTCTAGTAGCCCTAAGTTTCTATTATTACAATCTCTATGTCCTTGTGTACTCAAAGTTTAGCTCCCACTTGTGTGAGAACATGTGGTATTTGGTTTTCTGTTCCTGTGTTAATTCACTTAGGATAATGGCCCCCAGCTGCATCCACATTGCCACAAAGTACATGATTTCATTCTTTTTTAATGGCTGCATAGTGTCCCATAGGGTATCTATATCACATTTTCTTTATTCAATCCACCATTGATGGGCACCTAGGTTAATCCCATGTCTTTATTATTGTGAATAGGACTGCAATTAATATATGAGCGCATTCATCTTTTTTGTTGAATGATGTATTTTCCTTTGGGTATATATCAAGTAATGGGATTGCTGGATTAAATGGTAAAGAATTTTTGTTTCTATATTCATAAGGAAAACTGGTGTGTAATTTTGTTTTACAGTACTATAGTATTATGTCTGGGTTTCTTAACAGAGTAATGCTAAACTGAGGGAATGAGCTTGAAAATGTTCTCTTATGTTTTTGGAATAGTTTAAGAATGATCGGTATGTGTGCCTTTGTAAATTGCTTGGTAGAATTAATCAACAAAGCATATAGTCCTCAGAACTTCTTTGTTATGAGGTCAGGAACAGATGTTAAGTTGGTTCATTTTAATGGTGGAGGTAGGGGCTACCAGCCTAGAAATGCACGGAGACATTGAAAGATTAAAACTCATGGAAGTGGATTCCTGCCTGGTGTCTCCAAAAGGAACATAGCCTTGTGGATCCATTTTAGATTCTGACTGCCGGAGCTACTTGAGAATAAATTTGTGTTGTTTTAAGCCACCATGTCTGTAGTAGAATGTTATAACATCATTAAGGAACGAATACAGCAGATATTCAATTATATTTCAAAATCATGAATTTCACTGCACAATTTAGCCAATGATTTCTAGTACAATCGTGTGTCACCTAATGACAGGGAAATACTCTGAGAAATAAGTCATTAGGTTATTTTGTTGTTGTGTGGACATCATAGAGTGTACTTACAGAAACCTAGATGGTATTGCCTACTCCACTCCCAGGCTATATGGTAGAGCCTATTGCTCCTGGGCTACAAACCTGTAAAGCATGTTTCTATACTGAATACCATACACAATTGTATCACAATGGTAAGGATTTGTATATCTAAACATAGAAAAGATACAGTAAAAATAAATATTATATTCTCTTATGGGATCACCAGCCTATATGCAGTTCACTGTTGATCTAAATGTCATTCTCAGCGCATGACTCTATATTTTCATTAGGATTTTGGACCTAGTCATATCCCTGTCTTCTGTGAGCTATGAAACTACTTTTCTCTTCAATATTGTTTATGACTCTTTTCAAGGTTTATATCCTGAGTTGTCCCTTTTTCACAGTTATATATGCAAAGTATTAGCAGGTTATATTAGTCTGTTCTCACACTGCTGTAAAGAAATACCTCACACTGGGTAATTTATTTAAAAAAGAGGTTTAATTGGCTCAAGGTTCTGAAGACTGTGTAGGAATCATAGCGGCTTCTGCTTCTGGGGAGGCCTCAGGAAATTCACAATCATGGTGGAAGGAGAAGTGAAAGCAGGCAGGGAAGGGAGAGAGGAGGGAAGTGCCACACACTTTTAAACAACCAGGTATCATGAGAAACTCTATCATGAGAATATCACCAAAGGGGTAATTTGCCCTCATGATTTAATCACCTCCCACCAGGACTCACCTCCAACACTAAGGATTACATTCTGACATGAAATTTGAGTAGGGACATAGATCCAAACAATATCACAGATATATGTATAAATATCATATTATGTTCTCTGAAAAGCTATATTTATTTGAGATAAAGCAGCGTAGATACTGCCGCATAGAATCTATTTACATAATGTTGCATTATGTTCTGTATC